>NC_000005.10:90109807-90412837 GCF_000001405.40 Homo sapiens
TCACAGATTTCCCATTCTAAAATTTATATAGAACAAAAAAAATGGCCCAAATAGCTGAAGCCTAACCAAAAAGACCAAAGCCAGAGGCATCACATTACTCAATTTCAAACTATCCTATAAGGCTACAATAACAAAAACAGCATGGTGCTGGTACAAAAACAAATACATAGACCAATGGAACAGGTTAGAGAACCCAGAAATAAGGCCACACACCTACAGCCATTTGATCTCCGACAACATCAATAAAAATAAGCAATTGGGAAAGGACTCCCTATTCAATAAATTGTGCCAGAATAGCAGGTTAGCCATCTTCAAAAGAATGAAAATGGTCTTCTATCTTTCACAATAAATAAAAATTAACTCAAGATGGATTAAATATTTAAACATAAGATCTCCAACTATAAGAATCCTAGAAGAGGACCTAGGATATACAGTTCTGGACATTGGCATAGGGAAACAATTTATGATTAAGTCCTCAAAAGCAATGGTAACAAATACAAAAATTGACTAGTGGGACCTAGTTAAACTAAGGAGCTTCTGCATGGCAAAAGAAACCATCTGCAGCGTAAACAGACAACCTACAGAATGGCAGAAAATATTTACAAACTATGCATCTGACAAAGATCTAATATCCAGAATCTACAAAGAAATGAAACTATTCAACAAGCAAAGAAACAAATAACTCCATTAAAAAGTGGGCAAAAGACATGAACAGACACTATAAAAAATGCTCCACATCACTAATTATCAGAGAAACACAAATCAGAACCACACTGAGATACTGTCTACACCAATCATAATGGCTATTATTAAAAATCATACAACAACAGATGCTGGCAAGGATGTAAAGAAAGGAGACTACTTACATTGCTGGGAGTGTAAATTAGTTCAGCCCCTGTGGAAAGCAGTTTGGAGATTTCTCAAAGAACTTAAAACAGAATTACCATTCTACCTAGTAATCCCGTTACTGGGTGTATATCCAAAGGAAAATAAATCATTCTGCCAAAAAGGCACTCATATGTTCATCGCAGCACTATTCACAATAGCAAAGACATGGAATCAAGCTACCTGCTCATCAGTGGCAAATTGGAAAAAGAAAATGTGGAACATATACACCATCGAATATTATGCAGCCATTAAAAAACCAAATCATGTCCTTTGCAGCAACATGGATGAAGCTAGAAGACATTATCCTAATTGAATTAATGTAGGGACGGAAAAAAAATCAAAGGCCACATGCTCTCACTTATAAGTAGGAGCTAAACTTTGGGTACACATAGACATAAATATGGCAACAATAGTGGGGACCACTAAGGGGGTGGGAGGACTGAAAGGAATGTTTGTTGGAAAACTACTCATTGGGTACTATGCTCACTACCTGGGTGACAGGATCATTCATACCTCAGATGTCAGCATCACACAATATACTCAGGTAATAAACCTGTACATGTACCCCCAAATCTAAAATGAAAGTTGAAATCATGAGAAACCTCTTAGAATAGGATAACCCTTAAAAAAAAAAAAGAATGAAAAGACTAAACCTAATCTAAAATGTAAATTAAGAAAAATATTTATTACTGCTTTAAGCAACATGATGTCCAACGTTTTCTTTTATCTCATATCCTAGAAATATATTTCCTTAGACTCAGTCACTTTTTTCAAGAAGTTTCATACATATATATCACGATTTCACCATTCCAAACCTGATTACGTTGTTATGTTACCCTCTGGCAAGGTCTACAGGAAGTGAAACCTCATAACCTTTTGGCAAACTTTCCTCTCTCTTCTTAACTGGAAATGAAAGACTGAAAATTTTTGTTGAATGAGATCCAACCTGAGGATATGTCGACAAAAGAGAAACACATTTCAAACACTTTCTTCTCTCTTTTTCTCTGAAAATATAGAGGACAGTTCTCCATGGGGACTTTTCCTTTCAGAGTAACAATACTTGAAAGTTGAGGCTTCATCCACTTTTACCACCTGTTTAAAACGCCCAAGCTTTCCTTGGCCTATTGCAGCAAGTGGTCTGTAAATTTGAGCAAACTCGGATTTCTTACATTCCTCCCACCTGCCACATTTTCTTAACTGAAAGCAAAACGTGTTGCAATTGTATGTATTCCCGTGAGCCTGCAGAGATTCCGTTCTAACAGACATTGCTTTACGTTTTTAAAATAGGACAAAGAAGCTCTGAAAATAGTGAGGTTTTTGGGTAGATCTGTTTTTAAAAAAGACTTAAATATGGTAAAATCAATCTAAAAACTGTTCTAGGCAGCTGAGAGGCTGGGGATAACAGGAGCAAAGGGAATAAAGGGAGCTCTGAAGAGCCAGTACCAGTTGCTAATACTTAATCTCTTTAAATAATGAATTAGCTGCTCATATCTACTGTGGCTGCTAAGAGAAAGCACTTTCTTTGTGGAGTGAAGTAAAGCTTGAATACCATGAATTATTCAATATAAAGTGTGCCAGTTAAAATGCCTTGATATTGGAAGTCAAGTGTAAGATTATCTCTTGTCTGTCAAAAAGCATCTTTACCGTGTTACTGAGCCCTAGAGGAGGGGCCCAAGGAGTGAGAAAAGAAAAGAGAAAAGCCATCCAGAAACAACATAATAAAGCACTAAGCATTCAGAACAAGCTGGGAGCAGCTTCCTTGCTACAGAGGAAACCTCTATTGACATGCTCTCTTCAAGCAGGTCTTACTGCTTACTGCTTAAAGTTGCTATTTCTATGTCCTCCACTATGATAACAAGGCGAAGTTGCTATGTCCTTTCCATTAGAGACAATAGATACTCATTCACCAGCCATGGTTGTCTTAAAGAAATATATTCCTTCCTAAGGTGTCTACTGACAGAGTTGTGTGATGACCTTCTAATCAATGTAGAATTTTTAAAGCAAAAGTGATTAACTACAAAGCATATTGAAATGCAGACCACGACAAAACTTCAGTGTATGGTATTTCATTGTCTATTGCTCTAAGAAATGTTTTCATAGTCAGCTGGATACTTTTCTCTTTCCTGAATGTTCTGTAAAATTGCCCTTTTTTGGATAAAGCAGAGAAATAATCTGGTATATACAGAAATCAAAATCCTAAAATCACTGTGCTACTTTTAAAAATGCAGTACCTGGGATTGTATATGCTATGCTTTCAAAGAATATTCATTAAGCACTAATTATAGGAAGGCACCATTCTAGGTCCTGGAAATAAAAAGAAGAAATGATAGTCTTGTTCCTCAAGGTGTTTGAAGTGTAGAAGAAGAAACAGATGTATAAACACTAAATTCATAGAGCATCATAGATGGTATGACAGAACATTCCAAAGGAGAGTGGGGGGTGGGGGGGAATTGGGACAATCAGAGAAAACTCATAGAAAGTATAATGCTAGAGGTTAGATTTGAAGGAAAGTGAAAGATGTTTAGATTGGAGAAGGAGCTTGAGGATAAACAAAGACAGTGCTGTGAAAGCCACCTGGTGCATTTGGGAAACTGCAGCCATCTGGAAATAAGGAAAGCATCATCTAGAGGCTGGCAGGTGAAAAACAGGCTAGGCTATATTCTGATGGCTGACCAAGGACACCCTAACCATTTGAACTGCATTTTACTGCTTGCTTAAGGAATAAAGTTTAAACAATTTGAGGGGTTAAAGTTAGACAGAAGATATACATCATGGGGTTCTTGTTAAGAAAAATCCCTTCACGGTAAAGTGGGGAGTAGATTAAGAAGGTACAAAGCTGGGAAGGGGGAGAGCAGCTATGTTCTAAGAACCAAAGCCACTGTAGTGGAGATGGAAAGGGATGAGAGGGTTGATGATTAAATGATTGTGAGAAATGACAGGGACAAAGAGATTGAACTAAACTTACACGTATCCTATTCTGATAAATGGGTGAAAAGTGATGCTATTCATAAGATAAAGAGTAATGTAAGCATAATAGGTTAGGAGATAAAGACAATAAGTTTTGTTTTAGTTATGTTGACCAGAGGTGTCCAGTAGACACTTTGATATAATTTGGAGCTCAGGTTGGACTTGGCTGAAGAAGCAAACTTGAGAGTCATCAACTTACATGCAGTGAATGAGGACACAGGGATGGATGAATGAACCAGAAAAAGCATGCAGGACCCTTGGAAAACCTGGTGCTTAAAGAGCTGGGAGAGAAAGAAAATAGCACAAAGAAAATTTTAAAAATAGAGAAGCATGAGAAAATGATGAATTTGGGTTAGAAACTAAGGGAAGAAGAAGCTCTAAGAAGAAAGAAATGGTCAACAGATCCAAATATGCCTTAGAAGTTAAGTATGATGAGGATTGAAAATTATCTGAAGGATGTGGCAATTAGAGTATGGATGATTGGTAGCTTTTGTCATAGCAATTTTTACAATGGTGGAACTGAAAACCAGTTTATCCAGGAATAAATGGGATGGTAAGGAAGACAAAACAATGAGTATAGACAATTGTTTAGAGAATAGGCGCAATAGGTGGTATAGCAGATTGAATTGTCTTCCTCCAAAAAAATATGTTCAAGTCCTCGTCCTTGGTACCTGTGAATGTGACCTTATTTGGAAACAGGGTCTTTGCAGATGTAATTAGTTAAGCTGCCAATCTTTGGCATTCCTTGGCCTGTAACTGTATCACTCCAATCTCTGCCTGTCTTCACATGGATGACTTTCTTCTGTGTGCCTTCAAATCTGTCCCTCCTTATAAGGAAATCATTCATATTGGATTAAGGGCCCACCCTACTCTGTATGACCTAATTTTAACCAGTTATATCTGTACTGACCTTATTTCCAAATAAGATCCCATTCTAAGTTATTAGGGGTTAGGACTTCAACACATCTTTCTGGACAACACAATTCAACCTATTACAGGGCTTAAGAGACAAAGCAATCTAATGGATACAAATATAAAAATAAATATGAAAAAAAAAATATATATATATATATATAATGTGAATTTTTAAAAAAAGTCAGGCTGAGAAGTTTTATTCACTTACCCAAGTAACGAAGCACATTAGTATCACAGCCAGCACTAGAATCCAGGTCCACTGATTCCCAGTTAGCTGCTCTTTCTGTTTTGCTAAAGCCTCTGCACAACTCATTCAATGGCTTCTTTTGGCCTTGTGGACATTATCCAAACTCTTCAAGGTGGCCTAAGGACTTGCATTTTTCTGGCCCCAGCCTCAACTCAAGCCACTTTTCCTCTTCTCTGTGCCCAAGCAACACTGGCCTTTTTCTAGTGTTATAAACTTCCTCGCCTCTTTACTACTTCAATCCCTCCCGGACATGTTAGTTCTTCTACCTGGAAAGTGACACTCACTTCTTAGCCCAACTCACTCTTCATTCTTTACCTCTCACCAGAAAGTCAGAAAATCAATGCTGATTACCAGGTCAGGTTAAATTTTCCTGTCATATTTCTCTGTGGCATCCTAACTCTTTGGAAAACTTTACACAGTTATAATTTTGGTTTTATGTGTTTAATGCATACTTTCCCTGAGAGACTGTAAGCTCTGAGAGGTCAGTAAACATGTTGTCTCAAAAGCCTAGCAGAGTGTTTGGGGATAAGCAGGCATTTTCTATGAATTTATTGAATGACAGAAACAGCCATAACTTCCCACACTGTCAGAAGCCTAACAAAGCATGCTGGACATAGTGAGACCCTTTGGCTCCCTGCTGTTCCTCTAATACAAATTTGCATGGGCTGCCCCGTTTCTGGAACATTCTTACCCCAGATATCTTCATAGCTATATTCCTAACTTCCTCAAGATTTTGTTCAAATACCATCTCAGTGAAGCCAAAACTGAACTCAAAGTTATCACTTCTTTCCCCTGACCCTCCTATACATTTTTTAAATCCATAACACTCATCACCTTCTAAGATACTATAAGTTACTTATTTATTACTTGACTATTCATTGTCTTCCTCCCCCTACTAAAAATGTAAATTCTAGAAAAGAGATCCTTGTGGTTTTTATTCAATAATGTGCTCGGACCACCAAGACAGTGCCTGGCATGCAGTAGACCTTTCAAAAATAATTTTTAAATGAATGTATTCCAGCAGTCTAAATAGGCATTACTAAAACTATCTTCTATAAAAAATACATACAGACTCTTTACTGCCAGCATCAGAATGTAAAAAAAATGGAGACAAGTGCATGGTCTAAATTTTATTTTATATAATCTCTTTTTGTTTTAAGAAAGAAGACTATGGCTGTATTTTATACACTTTGTGGTCCACATTAAAATGTCAATTTCAATCAAGAAGCGAAATATTAAAGTAAGAGTAATAGCTAACCTCTGTTTTCTGGTATTATTTGGCAAAAAAAGAAAACGAAGCATGAAAGTCAGTAACTGAACTAATCCCTGATCCTTACTGACAACTTAAATCATTTGACATATTGCAATATTTTCCTGCAATTTCCAGTGATTTGCTTAAAAACTGCTTCTACCTACTATTCAAGCCAGCATAGATATAAGCACTTCATGGACATTTCATAAATCTAACAAAACCATAACAATGAGCACTGCCTCAATGTTTACATTTAGATTTAAGGGTAAATTAGAGTAATAAAAGAAAATCTTGGAGCAATTAGAGCTAATAAAATAATTCACATGGTTATCTCCTTTTCCTGCTCTCATGGTCTCTGTTGATGCTCAATTGCCTGCAATTGCTCAAGGAAGACAAGACATTAATCTCCTAGTTGAAGATACTCCAGTCACCCGCCATGCCCTCTCATTGCCTTGCCATTCTAGTTTCTGTTTTCAACACTATAGATAAACTGTCTTGAACACAGGCTCCTCCAAAGTTATTCTGCAGCTTCTTCTAGGAGAGCCACTTTCTCCTTCATTAATTCTAACCCCCAACGCAAACTTGATCAATGCTTCACATCCAAAAACAGCCCCAAGGCCACCACTGTTATCTTGGACAACCAATGTTGATGCCATTTTTGCCCCCTGTACTCTCACCAATTGCTTCTAGCCATTAGGAAAACAAGATCTGAATTTTTTCATTCCCTAGGAGAAAGCTGCTACAATGCTTCTGACATAGAGGAAGGCTGCAAGGGAAGCCTAACTGAGTAAGCTACGGTCCTTTCCTAAAGACATTGTCTGCTCAGTCAGGAAACTATATCAATTCCAACGCATCATAGGAAAGTGCTTCTGTAGGCCCTTTTTAATACTAAGCAGGGCTAACAGTTTTCTCCACAGTGAAGTCCGGTGGTAGTCCCCAGATCCCACAGGGTTTCTGACTTCCCCACATCCCCCTAGACAGTTCTGGACTACCAAACAAGAAATTATCCAAAGTCTAGAGAGTACAAAATACTTTGACCATCTGCTCTTTTCTAATTGAACTTAATTTGCATAGAAATCTGTTGTGGGGTGGAATTCTGACAGTAGATTTCTAGTGTACGTATGCAAATACAAAGAGTACATCAAAGTTCAATTTGAGGCAATGAATGTTAACACTACTGACTCCTTGTCAGTCCCCAGTATTAGGAAATAGTTTGGTTTAGTGCATTTATTTTCATGTTGGTGATATGTTTATACTGGGCCCTTAGCACATCTGTTGCCCAGCCCAATCTATGGCCCAGAGAATGTTAGTTTTTGGTGACATACCCTCTAACAATTAGAGTGGTTGTAACCATAGAGTATTGCAACCACTCTAATTCTTATACAAGTCTGTATAAAACTAACTTGTTCTTATAAAGAGTAAATTCGCAGCCAGACATGGTGGCTCACGCCTGTAATCTCAGCACTTTGGGAGGCCGAGGCAGGCAGATCACCTGATGTCAGGAGTTCGAGACCAGCCTGGCCAACATGATGGAACCCTGTAACTACTAAAATACAAAACTTAGCCAGGTGTGGTAGCATGCGCCTGTAATCCCAGCTACTCGGGAGGCTGAGGTGAGAGAATTGCTTGAGCCCAAGAGGTGGAGGTTGCAATGAGCCGAGATCGTGCCACTGCACTCCAGCCTGGGCACAGAGTGAGACTCCATCTCCAAAAAATAATAATAAAAATAAAGAGTAAATTCTCCCCTTTGTTTTTCTCTAACTCTGTACTCTAATTAACTGAGGTAGATGTCTCATATAAATCAATATACAATATAGAATACCAGAATTGGAACACAAGATAGATTTGAAAAGAATGTTGAAAGTTACTTTTTAACAATATAGAGGTGAGGCTTCTGAAGCAAGTTAGAAACTCAAATGTTAAGACTAGAGAACGCATCCACAATTAAACCTATAGCAAACGCATCCTTACTTTCAATCCCAACTCCAAGCTCTGAAGGTTTGACGTCTGTATTGTAGCTTTTCTCCGTTCCTTTCCCACAACCACTCCTTGGATCAGGCCATGACTGCCTTTAACCTAGATTACTAACACAGCTTCCTAAGAGATCTCCCTGATATTTCATAACTGAAGCCAGAAGGACCTTCCTAAAATGCAAATCCAATTATGTCATGACCCACGCCCACCCATTTAAAATCCTCCAGTAGATCTCTATGACTTTCAGAAGAGAATCCAAACATTTTCATATAGCACAAAACTAAATTTTTTGTGATGATGTTGTTTTTAGACATTGTATCTCTCTCTCTCTGTCATCCATGCCCTACACTTCAGTTAAAACACATGAGTAGCTAGTACCAAAATGTCCCACATCGTGCTGTACTTCTGTGTTGAAGCTTCTATTACTGTTTTTCAAAATCAAATTTCTTTGGGTCAGGCACAGTGGCTTATGCCTGTAATCCCAGCACTTTGGGAGGCCAAGGCAGGCGGATCACAAGGTCAGGAGTTCAAGACCAACCTGGCCAACATAGTGAAACCCCATCTCTACTAAAAATACAAAAAAATTTGCTGGGCGTGGTGGTGGGTGCCTGTAATCCCAGCTACTCAGGAGGCTGAGGCACGAGAATTGCTTGAACCTAGGGGACGGAGTTTGGAGTGAGCCGAGATCACGCCACTGCACTCCAGCCCGGGCAATGGTGCGAGACTCCATCTCAAAAAAAAAAAAAAAAAGAAATCAAATTTCTTTGGAAATTAACAATTCATTAGGACAGGTTTGATGAAACCTGAAAGAAAGATTTCATGATTTTCTTAGGCAAAAAATTATCTAATGTAATTATATATATTATTAAAGTTAAAGATGATGGGGCTGGGTGGATGTGGGGAAGTAAGGGGAAAGTTGACTTGAATCACCAATGCAGAAGCCACTTTATACAACTATTATGAGCCATGAAATTATTTTTAAAAGCCACATGGAAACTTTTTTATTCTAAATGTATTTTTTCTGAATAATTCTTTCAGAAGCAATCAAGGTAAAAGACTTTGACTTTTGCATAACTATACTATAGGCAGTCACAGTGTATCAGTTTGACCTCACTGCTTTCTGAGCTGACAAGTCTCAGGCATTTGATGAAACCAATATCCACCCATGCCATAGAGTAGAACAATATTTAGACATGGTTTAATGGTGCTCCAGAAAGTATTCAAAAGAATGTTGAAAGTTACTTTTTAATGTATTTTACTTTTTATAAGTAGACAATATGCTTTTAATATTGATTTCCCATTTATTATTTTAAAAAGTCTCAAAGGTTGACAAATTTTGAATTGCAGAACAAGTACTTAAATAATAAAATATAGATTATACTACCTTCAACATGGGGTGCCGTGAAGTAGGGGGTGATGTAGGGAGGATTCCAAATGGGAGGAGCAACAGGTCCAAATAAGGAGAGAGGGAGAGAGAAAAAGGGAAAGAAAGAATCTTTGCCAAAGAAACTGTCTTGTATAAAGCTGAATATGTTTGTTCTATGAATACTTCACATAACTTTAAAATTAGGCCAATATTTGAGAAGAACAGGCCTAAGAAATACATATCTTTTTGGTTAGAAAATACCAAAGAAGAAGTTATGTAATCCAAAAAAAAAGACAAGAAACTGGCCAAAAGAAATCAAGAAGAATTGTGAAATGTGTAAGATGCCCTAAAGGTAGCTGAACATATGTGCATAACTGGCATTTTTCCCAATTCAACCCATGAGGCTGCTATATTTCTCAGTAATAGGAAATAGGCCTTATTTACCCTGATGAAAAAGAAATCCCTTTAACTAAATATTAAGACATACTAGATTTCAACATCTCTCCCGTTGCAGACACTCAGTAAATATTTACCTTTACTATTAATCTCAATAAATCTTGGAATTATGCTTGTTCAGGGATACAAAAAATCTAAAAGAAGTCCCCTAGATAAAAATTATGCAACCAATATGTAACTTGCTTTTGGATTCAATTTCAAAGAGAAACTTTAAGTTTGAAGGCTGATAATTCATTTTGGATATTATGTTGTCTTTGTGTTTTCCATGACTTTTCAAAATTAAGTAAAGTTCTTTTCCTGTCCAAAAAACTCACATTTGGAAGACTAGTGTAAAAGAGATTTTCAAGTCCTTTGAAACCAAATCTCCTTCATTATAATATAATGCCAAATTGCTATAAATTCAAAAGGATCTATGTCAGGAATTCTGAGTCTGAAACTCATGTCTGTGACCTCTTTTTTATGACAGAGTATATGTATAATTTCCTTAATATTTGCAAAATGTATCTTGACTGCATTTTATTTTTTCTCTTACTTTTTATAATATTGTTGTCTTGGAGTAATATATTCTTTCTTTTTAGAGAAATATAACAACAAAATAAGAGAAATTATAGTTTATTTTACTGGATGTACTTGTAAAATTAATGTCCAGATTAATGTCTTCATTTCAGAAAGAATGTATATATCTGAAAGAATCTTCATTTTTAAGACTATTTTCATTCGTTGAAAATAAGCCTACTCAGAAGCATACTGTAGATTTTACGTTATAGCAGATATTTAAATGAAATATTTATCCTATAACATTGCTTTCAACCAAGGTATATTCTTCAGTGATTTGTGGAAACAGATATTAACATTAAGAAAGAAAAAAAGTTCATGCATCTTATCATTATACCAATCTAACTGGAACTGTCTTTCTCTTCGATTTCCCCTTCTCATTACACAAACTGATTCTATCTGCAAATATTATGCAAAATTTTTTGGTTTGGAAATTAGGAGCCTCCAAAAGCTAGTATTACAGAGGTCAGCTAAGTATAAAGTTTCTTGTGACTAGTAAGGATTTATTTTGGCAAACCTTCAAATCAGAACTGACTTAAAGAATGAGTATGAAGACCCCTCAATGACACAGGAAATAAAAATTTCTGCCAAAAGGTAATTTATGTATAGCTTATCTATTTCACTTACTTAGGAAAATAGGCCCACAACTTAGAGCACTCATGAGCTTGAATTTTCATATTGTACCAACTCTTTAAAATTACATATACATATGTATATGTTTGCTGTATGTATTTTGTGCATATGTATGAATTATATATACATATATAAATATAGTTATGGTATTATTAAACATGTAAACCTATTTTATAAATATATATTCCATTATGAGGCACACACTAGAACCCATCAAAAATTTTACAGCTTATTCCCCAGTGACTCATTTATGATGCTGACAAGTTTTATAATGAGCAGGTAGTATGTTCTAGAACCCTACATGTCCTGCTATATCCATCAAGTAATATACAGGATTAAATTTTTTTAGACAACAAATTGTAAACAAATGACTATCTTTCTATTTAGAAATGCAAATTAGTTATAGATGCAAATAAATGAAGAATCATGAAGGAACAACCTGGGACACAGTCAGGCATAAATGCATGAGGATAGGAAGAATGAGAATCTTGGCAATGGTGTCAAAAACTTTTAGTTCTACCCCCAAGTTGTCCAAGTGCTCATAATAAGTGAGTACTTTATCCCCACTAGAGTTGTTTTCTTCCAGAGCATTTTCATATATATTGTTCATATTTTAATTTTAATTTTCACAGAAACCATACAATATACAAAGAGCAATTAGTATTCCATTTTAGAGATGAAGAAATAAGTTTATGTTAGGTTAAGTAAGCTACTTAAAGTGATAGAGTCAAGGTTAGAATCCACAGGTCCAACTACAAGATGGTAGTATTTCTATAGACACACTGAGCACAAATGTTTCCAACAATGCATTGATCCCTCAATGAAATTTTTATGCTGGAACACAACACAAATAGCAAGTAAGTAAACCAGTGAAATCAGACTTCATTCTCTTCCTTTATTTTCAAGTCATGGTGCTCGCTTTGGCAGCACGTATACTAAAAATTGGAAAGACATTTTCAAGTCATGGTAATCAAGTGCTCAGTTGTTAAATACCTTTCAACCTCTATTGCTGCTCTTTCTGGGGCCAGTGGTGTACATTTTTGTAACATATCATGATTTCAGTTTTTTTATAATTTTCTAATACATTATGATTTTAAGTTTTTCTTTGTCTGATACTATGAGGCTGAAGTAAACGAAAGGAGGCTATGAAACGGAAGAAATTTCTTGCAGAGAAGAGAATGAGGAAAGACTGGCTGCTTTGGGTGTTAAATTGTGTGAAGAAGTAGATAGAAGAACCAAATGAAATTCATGTCTTGACGTCAGTGCCCAAGGCACTGGAGAAAGAAGCTGTCTTCGATATCTTGAGGAGAATACCAAAAACAAAAAGACTTGGCCCCACTTCTCATTTGGAACTCTAGGAGGAGATGGCTTTGCAGCAATTCCACCACCACAATTGACTTGGGAGTTACCAAAGCAGAATACTGGTGAAGGGCAGACAAAGAACCTGAGCTAATACTTGGAAGCTGTCCTCTTCTATGTGGTGCAGAAGGGACTTAGCAGCTTCTTTGTGCCGTGGGGCAGGAATAGAAGGTAACTGAATGTCCAGCTGGAGGACATGCCCATAGCATAGGAAGGGCAAATGGAAAATAGGAGGCCCAGCCTCTCCCTATACATTCTCCAGAACTAGGGGAAGCTAGGATGGAACTCATTAGAAAGTGAGGGAAGTCTCTTGAGAAGTACAAAACCCAGGCCATGAAAATAGACCACGAGGTATACCAGTTCTGAACTACAACAGTGGGAGACCAGGACACCCCATACATTATCAACCAGCCATGCCTCAGCAGAGGCCAGCCAATACTCACCTGAGATCAACATAGTTACTCAGCAGCCAAGACCAGCACAAAATCCAGGGTACCCCTCTCCCACACCAGTGCCCTGAGATTATCAATATTTCTCCTGAGCCCAGGTGCTATTTTGGGAGAAAGAGATTAGTCTGTGGACTGCTCAAGAGGCCAATTAAACTGGAGGAGTCAGAAGTACCCCAAACCCATAAATTTAAAGTTACAGGTTAGGTGGATTTTTAAAGCCTCTATTACATAGCACATTTAGCACAGGATGGGGAAATTTTAGTGAGCAAAATTATACCAGTTATAGAATAAAGAAGTAATGTTTTCTTTAAACATCTAAGCAGACTGTGAATAAAATTTTAAACCGCTACAGAACCAATGCACATTTGAGATTCAAAAAGATGAAAAGTATATAAATAATCCTCTCTGTTTTTTAACCTTTTTCTCTTTAGTCACTCAACTATTTTTCTTCTTCATTATCCTCCCCTTTTGGTTTTATTTGCCTTTGAAATAAGATGACATAGAAACTGAAAAAAACAGAATGGCCCTCCAAAGCATATGAGTATTTGTTCTAGTCTGCTGTTAACTCATTTGGATACCAAAGCAAATAAATGACATTTTTTCACCTTACTAAACTTTATAAAATAGGGATAACATATAAATTCACTTCAAATAAAGTTGAGAGCAAGAGCTTTAAAAAATGCTTTTAAATCATTTTGCAAATATACAATATAAATCATTCTATATTTTTCCAACACTTCCCAGAAGAGATTCAAGGCCTTGTCCTACTCTCCAGAGGTCAAGATAAAGTTAGGAGAACGCCCTTCTGCTCTGTTACCTTTCCTAGTACCTATTGACCGAACCAGATGTTGGCAGGTATAAAATCTGAGACAGCTGGTTATCCAACCCCTTAGGGCCAAATGCTCCAAAAAATCACTTTTTTTTTTTTGCAGCATACATCCTGATTCAGAATCTCTGAGCTAATTATCAGGGTTGCGATTCTCAAACTAATAATTTCTACTATGCCTCCAGAGTAAGATAGAATCTAAAAATTAACACTTAGTATGCAGAGTTGTACACAGACAAAACGCAGATGGCCTATGCAGGTTTAAATTGTTAAAGCAGTTTTCATTAATATTTATGCTCTTTTTAGGTATATAAAATCATGAAAATCTATTTACTGAGCTCTATGAGTGCATGCACCACACTTCACAGAGGAACCAAGAAGAAACTTGTTTCCTACCCTTTGTTGAACTCAGAATTTACAAAAGGAGTAATGCAGACAAAGAAGCAAATATGCACCTGACCTTGCACAAAAGTGAAAATTAAAAACATGCAGACTTCAGTGTATGGATTTGGCCACAGGACAATTGGTAATGAGAGTTACAGGCCATATCATTCCTTTTCTTGTCAGTCCATAAAGACTGACTGAAGTCAACAGGACTCAAATTGTACCAAGTTACATAGGGAAGAATGAAAGAGTTGTGATTGGCAAAGAGTGTGAAAGTATACTGATTATACTGATCATTGAAAACAGGAATTGCAAAACCTCAGAAAGAAGAAATGAAAAAAAAATTTCTGACAGTTGTTGAAATTTTGCTTAGTGCTAGGAAGAAGATAGACAACACAATCCATTATATATCCATATCATGACACACACTGGGGACAGGGCAGTAGAGTGGTGATGAGTGAAATCAGATTACCCAGGGTCAAATACCTCCATAACCTTTGACAAGGTGCTTACCTGCAGTTTCCTCCTGTGTAAAATGGAGATAATTTTAAACCCCTACCTAATGTCATAGAATTAAGAAATAACACTTGAAGTTTTTAATACAGAGCATGACATAAGCACTGAATACAGTTAATTGCTGATATTATTGTTATTACTTTTATTCAGAAGTGGATTTCTGGAATTGGTCTTAGAAAAATGTAAATACCAATCTCATTTCCAATGTCTGTGTTACGTAGTAACCAATATTGCAGAGCCTGAAGTTTTTTTCATAAAAGTAAAACAAAATTGCTTATTAACCCCTCTAAATATATGATTCATTTATCATAAAGATATTAATACTTTTTTTGAGACAGAGTCTTGCTCTGTCACCAGGCTGGAGTGAAGTGGCATGATCTTGGCTCACAGCAACCTCCACCTCCCAGGTTCAAGCAATTCTCCTCCCTCAGCCTCCCGAGTAGCTGGGACTACAGGCGTGCACCACCACACCCAGCTAATTTTTGTATTTTTAGTAGAGACGAGGTTTCACCATGGTAGCCAGGATGGTCCCGATCTCTTGACCTCATCATCTGCCCACCTCAGCCTCACAAAGTGCTGGGATTACAAGCGTGAGCCACGGTGCCCAGCCAATATTAATACTTTTTATATCAAGATTTTTTGACGATTAAATAATATTATGCAGGCAAAATGCTTAATACAGTTCCTGGCACATCATAAGTGTTAAAAAACTGTGAGTTGCTCTTATCCTCCTTCACCTCCTCCTCCTCATCGTCATCACCTGAGTTATTTAACATTATCAACTGGGCAAGGAAAAATTAGGGCTCAGATAAAGGATGTGATATTGAGGGGGAAAATGAAAGAAAAATGTGTGGAGGATAGATTTTTCTCGGCCTACATTATGCAAACTGAGAGATGTGGAATTGATTCTTTCTGGGATACAGATAAAGGCTGGGTAAATGAAGCTGAGACAAGTAGGAGCCTTGGTCCTGATCACGGAAGGAATTGTGATTATGCTTTTACTACATGCATTGTTTGTGCTAAATGCTTTACCAACATTAGCTCTTGTAGTCCCCACAGCAACCCTGGAAAATTGGAGCTATTATCATCACCCCTCTATTATCAACCTACATTTTCACCAGAGAGAGTGTTTGCTCAGAGTCCCATGACTAGTGGGGGAAAGAGGCAGAACCTGAAGCCATGTCTACCTGATGTCAGTTCAAGCTCTTACCTACTACGTGACACCGGGAGCTTTGAAGGAGGGGCAGAGAAACACAAGGCAAGAAAGAGCATGTTTCTATGAAACTTTTAACTTAAAAGACAGAGCTCTCCAAGCATTCTCTCATCACAGACAGATCCATTCCTCCAGAAATGTGTTGGATTTTTATCATTTAAAACTATACACGATTTTAGAATGTTTTTCTGCACACTTCCAGGTGGAAAATTATTCTACTCATGCTGAGCATTGACTACAGTATTTCATGAAGCCTACTTTAAACAGTTCCCAGGTGAAAAGGGGAGCTTGTGTTAATTGAGAACTAAGCCTAGTCACCAAAAACAAGTCAGTAAATAAGTAAATTAGTAAGATAGTGAAGAAATGCATACATGCACACATAAATTAAGCATTTGGGACAAAATCAAACTTGAAAGAGAACTCAATTACTTATAATCATGAGATATTTTCTCATCTTCCACACACACTTTCAATTTCTTTATCAATAAATGTCAAAAGTTGAAAATATCCATAGACCAGAAAACCAAGGTATCTGAATGCCAAATAAGAGTACTACATATTACACTTCCAAGAGGGCCCACAATCAATGAAATAAATCCTATGAATTTTTATCTTTGGGTGTTATTAAATCGACCATAACTAACTTTTAAATAAATTGAATCCCTCATCTTAAAAATTCCTGGCTATGTGAATACAAAAGTATGGACCAGATAGTAAAGTTTTTATTTTTCCAATTTTGGCTTGATTACTTTTTTTAACCCCAAGTAAATGGGAGGAAGCAAGAATTGTAACTTATTTTTACTAAGTACCAATAACTTTTAGAGCACATATTATAGATTCCAGTTAAATTAAAAGTTGAGTCAGGTAGAACGCACAGTTACATCTTTCCACCATCCTCATTAAATTTCAGTTCAACGGGGAATGCTGTCATTTCTTCCTCCAATTTTCCTATTATACTTGTATTTTAGGCCAATACCACTGATATTCTGTAGCAACTACTTTCAGACTTTAACCAAATAGCATTACAGTACTAATAAGCACAATGTTTGTTTCAAATTTTTCTATACAACTATTGTTTTTGTGTGAATAATCACAAATTGTTTCAAAACAGACCCTGATGACTACTTAGCAAAAATCAACAGGCAAAGTTGAGGTCTAAAGTTTTCTCCTGAGGCATCTCTGCAGTAAATTGTGTTCCTTACAACAACTTCAGCTATCTAATTTTTCAAATCTTGCTGGAATAACAAGTGGCAAATTAGTGGATCTATCACATAAATGCTATTTACAGTTTCTTATAGTACACCCTTACTTCATATTCAAGTTTTGTCTGGATATAATTGACTTAACAAGCAAGTATTTATTACACTTACTGCTGGAAAACATTAATTACCTTTGATCCTGCTGAACCTCACACCCATTTACTTTATAAAATTTTGACCAGGTTAAAACGTTACTTAGATGATTATAATGCATCTTATATTCGCAATTTTTAATAGAGACTGTTGAATCTGTAGGAGTCCCAGAAACTTATTTACACATATTCAGAAATCTGAGGCAAAATATACCTATGATTTAACAGTGAATTACATTATTCCAGAAGATATCGTGCTGTACAATGAAAGTAAATTCAATAGTTATACCTTTTTGAACTTGATAGGGCCAATGTAATTCAGAGAATATAACATTTTATGCCTTTGTTAATGTGACCAAGGCCCTGAAAGGACACTGTAACACATCCCTCTCTGTTAAAAAATTAAATAAAGACCATGTGATCTTTAATTTCTGGAATAACCTAAATTTTATGTCTCATCTTCAAGATTCATTGCTAAAAGTTGTTTCAGGTGTTAGAAGTGTTCTGAAAATGAATCAGGCAGAAACATTGTCAGGATGCTCAAAGTATATTGTATGCATAAATGATTGCATGGTCAATAGCTTGTATACTAAGCTCATTTCATTTATGCAAAATTACCAATATGCATTTCCAACTATATAAAAATTAAGTAGGGCAGGCAATTTTCCTTACTTTTGCACTCAATGGGCACATATAGTAGACTAGGGTGCAGAAAGGGGAGATATGGCTTCCTGTCCTCTTGATCATCACAGTTCATGTAGGCCTCCCATAATCTGAGCATCCCATCATGCTGAGTATAATTCTGATGTTTAACAGTATGCATTTTTGCTCTAGTGTGTCTTGTAAGCAAAAGCTAGCCAGTCATCTGCTTCTCAACTAAGGAAAGAGCAATTATTTTAAACACTTGGAGTAAAATATCAATATTTGGGGCTCAGCGAAACAATAGGTTATATCCATGTCCCATGTAACAACTTCTTAAGGGAATTTTAGTGTTATTTTGGCCCTATGCAATTTTTGCCCCTCTTGTTCATTTAAGAACCTGATTCTCACATAAAAGAAGTTTCCACTGTACCTAACCTCACTGCAACGACCTGTTATCACAAAGATACTCCTGATCTCTCCATAGTGCCAAGAAACATTTTTCTTCAGTAAAAACTAGATTATATTTGAACATTTACATCTCACATGGAAGCATCACACACCCATAATGCATTGCATACTCATAATGCAATTTCCTTTGAATATGTAAATCTCAATAAATATGAATATTTACATCTCAAAGAAGATTTCACATAGAAGTAGAACATATCTATAATGCAAATTGATATTTGCTTAATACTACAGCCCAATTCAAAAAGTTAGTACTAAAATCCACTGGAGATGCCCAGTAAATGAGCATTTCCCCACCACACTGATGAGACGAGAGCAGGCCTAGCTTTTTATGGCAAAAGGTTTCATAAGACAGAAGAAAGAATAATTCAATATGTATTCTTCCTGGAAAGATCCAGCTTGCCTCTAGGCCATTCTTAAATTAAAGGAAAGCCAACTGAGATTTTTTTAATCAATAAACAAATATTTACTGAGTCTCTACTATGCACAAGGAACTGTCCTAGTTTCCTAGTTACCACAGAAAATATGGAAGTGTGCACAGACATGGCACACTTCCACACTTTTGCCAGACATGGCAGTGTGCACCTGTAGTACCAGTGACTCCAGAGGTAGAGGCAGAAGGATTGCTTGAGCACAGATGTTCAAGACTTAGTCTTCAAAAGAAAAAAGAAAAAAACACACACAAGAAGACACAAGATGTTTTCACAAGCATGCTAACTACTTGGAAACAAAGTCATGTCTGCATGAAAAGTAACAAGTAAATTACAGGGTAGTTAGAGGCTGTTACAATAATCTAAGGGCACAGTGATGAAGGCCCCTAGTAGAACAGTAAAACTAGGGATGATAAAGAGGGCTTTGAGAGACACCTATGAATTAAATTAGTTTTAGTAAATTATTGCATTTGGAATATGAGAAAGAAGTCAAAGTTGACTCATTTGCAACATGGGGTGGATGGTAATGACATTAAAACAGAAAATACAAGAGTAAGAACAGGTTTAGGTCAGAAAAGATAACAATAACAGGTTGTTTTTTTTTTTTGCTTTGTTTTTTAATACGGGGATTTGTGGAAATTTTTAATACAGATATTTTTTAGCAAGTTGCTAATCCTCTGTCTAAAGTGATTTAATGGCTTTCCTGATCTGTGAAAGATTGTCACATAGTTGGTTATTGAACCAGTGAACATAAATATAATTATCCAGTTAGAGGACAAACACTCTAGTGAATATGTGGCATCTACCTCCAGGGGCCCACAGGAGAAATAAGAATAGTGAGGTGGAGAAAAGAAAAACTTGAAGGATAGAGAATTTGTGAGTCTCAGCCAAGAAAAGAATAGTTTTAAGAAAGAAGTTCTGGTAATTTCTGTCTTCTATTATGGTAATATCAAAGAAGATGAGAACAGAAAAAATATTGGTATTTTTTGAGCAATTAGGTCATTTGTACCCTTGAGAAGGTAAGGAAGGAGGAGAGGGGAAAGCCATATTTTTTGCTAACAAGAAAGAATTAGGGTTAACAACAACAAAAAAAAGGAGTTAGAAGTACAGACTAAATCATCCAAGCAAGAAAGGAGAGAAATCAGATGGTCACTACAATAAGGTAACAAGAAATATACTTCTCAAGGTCGAGGAGAACCTTCTAATAAGAGATGATCAAGGATAATACAGTATCTCTTACGGCCAATCAAACCATAGATCCCTTCAACCTCTTCCACTTGCAACCCATCCAAACTCTGTCTCGTTCACTCTCCTTCACTAGGAGACACACTTCCTAGTGAAGCCATGACAAAGTTGAACAGGTTAAGTGCATCCATCCTGACACATCTGACACAGGACATCAAGGTGGCCACAATACCTTCCAAATCTTAGGATTCACCTTCATGACATATGGAAAGAGCTATTTCTACTAAGCTGAGAATAGCAAGTGTGGCCTGGGATGCAAGATCTCTTTGGTTTAAAAGAGAATAGAGCCTCATTTCTCACATGGGAGCTAGCTCTGTCCTAGAATGCTGTTGAAGAGAGGTGATGCTAAGTCATGTATCCAGACCATACAAGCCCAGGCTAATCACTGAGCATGTATGTATATTGGTGCAGAAATTAGTAAACCACGCAAATATAAAGGTTCAGTTCTTTTTCATCTTTGTGTTCCTGGAACCTAACACAATTCCTACCATGGAGCTTCAGTTGTTTTTTGTTGAATTGAACTAAATTGTCTAAACCTTTATTGCATCTAAAATTACTCTATCAAACAACATATTATAGTGCCAAGAGTACAGGTCTAAGACAGAAGGTTAGGGTTTCAGCTCTACTCTGTAACTTTTTGATAAGCCTTTTTTTAATAGTCTTGTCACCTATATTCCCATTCTGCCAGCTTCACAGATTTTTAGATGGGAACACATGAAAAATGCATGTGAAAATGTTTGGTATATTTTAAAATATTATACAAATATTAAGGCACATTTTATTACTATATTTAAGGTAATCAGATGTTGACATCAAATGTGCATATTTTTCTCTAAGTTGGCCTAGGTACAATTATTATCTTTTTCTTATTTACCGCTGTTTATCTAATCCTTATTTGAAATCTGCTAAATTATTTGCCTATTTATCATGGTGGCCCTAATTTGGAATACAGAAACTAATGGCATTGGAAAATTGCACTGAAAAGAGTCACCCATGTACTGTGATAGATCATAAATATGGATGACTAGAAAGTAAGATGCTTCGCTTAAGATGCAAATTAGCAGAGAATGAGATGCAGTGAGTTGTGCATCAGAGATTCAAATCCTGATGGAGAAGTCCCTGTAGGGTCACCAGACAAAAAGCAGGTTTCTTCTGCCACTCCCCAGCGAGGCTGTAGACACTATCATGGCCTGTCACACAACACTAATTGAACAGTATACTAATAGAAAAGAAAGTATGCCAGCCACATCCCTGAGTGAAGAGCTGCAAAGTCAGTCTAAAGAGGCACACTACACAAGAAGCACACAGGCCCAGAACCGCAACCCAGAGATCTGCAGTCAGACCAATCCCAGCAGCAGAGCAGCTGAGAAAATTAGAAAAGCAGAAAGGGAGAAATGGAGGCTTTGCGGAGAATGCAAATAGTTATAATGGGGGTGACTAGTTCTCAAGGGAAATAGTGGTGCTGTGCAATCCAACCTTTCCCCTCTGCCTTCCCATAACTTTTGCTAAGTGTATCCCCAAGTCCCCCATCCTGCCACAACCACCCCATCATCTGAGTCTTACCTCAGATGATGAGATTCCTGGTGTAATATATCAGACAACAGAGGTTTGGAATCTGTTTATTCATGCAGACATGGTAATAGTGTATGAATATGCAATTTCTAGTAGGGCCAATAGCAGAGAGAGGGTATAAATTTAAAAGTCAAAGAGAAAGAGAGAGAGATCACCATGTAAAATAAAACTCCAAAGGATCTGCTATAAAAACCCTCAATAGAGACAGAATGTAACAGAGAGCATAGTTTTGGTTTTATGTGCACTGGAATAGCTTCCTTTTCATTGCTCTGTTCCTCTGCATACCTTCTCTCCACTGCCTGTTATGAGTCTCTTCTCAGAACTAGTGTTACAATCCAAACAGGCCTTGTTCTTTGAAATGCAGCAGAAAAGAAGGCCAAGAAAAAGAGGAAACATGAGAAAGTAAGAATGAGAACAGAAAGTAAGAAGGAACGAGGGGTTATAAAAGAACCAGGGTTTTGTTGTCATGCCTCCATTTGCCTATACACTTCTCACAAATTCTGACACACATGCAGGGCCACATGATCAGGACTGCAGTCTTGGGGATGCCAGGCAAAGTAACAAGCATCTCTCAAGTCTGTCTTAGCTGACCCTTTTTCTAGCATCCTCATCTGTCAAGCCAAACTGCAAATTTCACAAAAGCAGGTCACATCACAAGCTTTCTGATACTTCCTGCTTCTGGTGACAAGTTGAAATCCCCAATGAAACTGCCTGTCTCTAGAACACAGGAACCTGGAATTTTAAAAAAGCAAAAATGGAAGATAAACAAGAACTTTCAGAACTTCCACTCACTCAGTGAATCATATTTTACAAACATTTTAAATATCTTTTTAATAAAGGGGAAATTAGATTCAAAAATATGGGATTTACCCAAATCATGTTTAACACAAATAGACTTGAAGTACTTTAAGTCCAACGGCCAATTCTCATTTCTCTTAAATGCATGAATGGATATATCAAATGATACATATCCACTAAGAGATCTTCATTAGGCCTCAACTATAATAAGCCTCAATAAGTCAAAATCTTACCGTCAGGAATACCATCTATAATAGCTACAATCTGGTGTAGGGGAGAGTCTACATCAAATTAAGATGCCTAGAGTAACATCCTATGAAAAAAAACTCAGAGTCCATAATCAGCATGGGAAACAAATTCCAGATCCTGACAAAATAACCTGGGTGTGATCTCCACGTGAGGAGCTATCAACAACAGCTACATAGCACTTGTCAAAGGGGGACAAGTGGTAATAATAGTAGCCAACATTTATTGAGCTCTTACTATGTGTCAGGCATTAAGAATTATCTCATGTAATCCTTATCATAAGATCATGAGATAAGTATTATAATTACCAAATTGAGTTCAGGCCTTAATTTGCTGAAGGCCATACAGTGAATAACTGGTGAGATCAGGCAGGTTTCAAATCCATATACTTGTTGCCAGAGCCTCTACTAACCCATTTGCTAGACAACCACAGGTGGCTGCTCCTCCGACCTCACCACTCATGGGTCAATCTTTCCATGTCCCTCAATCATCTACTCTTCTGCACGGGCCTCTCCTCTCTAGCGTGTGGCTTTCCTTCTTTAAGACTATCTTTGTCTCCATTTATTTCTCTTTCTTTTTCAACATTTCTCTTCTCTCACTCTCTCACTCTCCCTCACTCCCCATTTCTTTTTTCTTTCTTTTCTTTTCTTCTTCTTTTTTTTTTTTTTTTTTTTTTGGATTAGGTCATACTCTGTTGTCCAGGCTGAAGTGCAGTGGCATGATTATGGCTCACTGCAGCCTCAATCTCCCAGGCTCAAGTGATCCTCCTGCCTCAGCCTCCTGAGCAGCTGGGACTACAGGCACACTCCACTGTGTCTGGCTAATTTTGGAGGTTTTTCGTTTTTTGTTTTTTGTGGAGACAGAGTTTCACCATGTTACCCAGGCTGGTCTCAAACTCCTGAGCTGAAGCAGTCCACCTGCATTAGCCTCCCAAAGTGCTGGGATTACAGGCATGAGCCACTGTGCCTAGTTCCTTACTCCCTTTTTCTAAATCAAACTAAATATGCAGTTGAAGTAAGTTCTTAAAATGGTGACTCCATTATATATCCCTTGTTCTTAATTTAAAATGGATATGGGAGAAGGAGGTACCTTTTTATACATCTATGTTTCTTCTCCCACAAAAGAAAATGTCAAAACAAAGTTGCTGTTTACTTCTGTGTGGCCCTTCACTGATCTGTTTCTTAAGTCAAGACTTACTGGTAAGGCAAACGGTTTCATACTACCCACAATTGGTGTTAGGGACTGAATTGTGCCCTGCAAAAATTCATATGTTGAAACCCTAACCTCCCATTAGATTATACTGGAGATAGGTCCTTTAAGGAGGTTATTAAGGTTAAATGAGGTCATAAAGGTAGAGCCCTGATCTGATAAAACTTGTATAATTGTAAGAAAGAAACACCAGATCTCTCTCTCTCTTTCTCTTTCTCTCTCTCTCATTCTCTCTCTCTCCCTCTCTCTCTCTCTCTCTCTCTGTCTGTCATATGAAGAGATAGAGAAAGCAGCCGTCTGGAAGCCAGATAGAGAGCCCTCACCAGGAACCAAATCAGCTGACACCTTGCCTCCAGAACTGTGAGAAATAAATGTCCGTTGTTTAAGCCACTGAGTCTATGGTATTTGTCTTGGCAGCATGAGCTGACTAATACAATTGTTTTTAAAATATAGTCCTTCTTTATGAAAAAAGTTCACATTTTAAAACATTAGTTGTGTGATTTCAAGTTGAGCATTCACATCATTACTGAGCATGTTTGAACTTACTGAGCCTGGACAAAGAAGCAGCATAGTCCTAAGATACTTATACTTAAAACTGATCCATTATTTAAATCATTTGTCCAAGAGTTACCTGGCCATTTAAGATAGAAAGCCATTTTTCTGAAAAACTGAGATTTTGACAGAGGTTACCTGGATCCTTCCCACAAGAAACAAGAAGAAAAAAGACAGAATTCACTTGATTTATTTACATGTAAGTTTGGAATGCAGTGACTTTTTTCCTGAGTTATTTTATTCACTATCCAGTAGATGACCCTGCTACCAATTCCATCCACATCTGATAAAAGAAAAATAAATCACTTGCCCAGCTATTGGATCCAGAAACTAAGAAGAACCTAACATAAGAAAAATACTCTTTTTCAAAGTTTCTTTATTTTTCCAAGCTAAGAGTAGTGTGAATAATACTGCTGTGCAGCCACTCATTGGAGCTGTTGAAACATCAAATGACTTTAGAAAAATGACAGTGGTTCTAATTATTTCTCCACTGGGAATCTTTGGCTTCATTAAAAAAGGTAAATGGGTGGTTTGTTGGGCAAATGGCAAAATAAAACAAAAACGATACAGAGAATACCTCCAACCAGCACCTCCTTCTAGGTTCATGAAAGTTCAACACAATGTTGTGTGGTGACCTGTCGGATCACCTTTGAGAGGTGGAGAGTCACTGTGAACTCCAGCCTTCTCTGCCCATGAGATAAGCAGAGGAACTTGAGAAGAGGAAGCCTTGTATCTGAGCCTGACTCAGACATGCTTTTTCTGATTCAGCCATAACCTTTGCTTGGAAAACTGTACGTCATGGCCTTGGCGGGTCCCCAAGCTTCCTCCTTTGCAGTCTGCTATTTTTCCTCTAGCCTACCCAAAATAGCTGGGCAGAGATTTAGTACAGTTGGGATGCCAGTGTTTATAGGCCCAAGTGTTTCTGAGTTTCTTTCTGTGGGCAAGCACAGGTTTCTGCAGACCGGCAAGAATAAAAGGAAAGGTGGTTCTGGCCTTTTGGTTTTGCTTCCTAGAAAAGTTATAGATCCACTTTTCCTTCTCCAAAGAACCCCAGCATTAGAAAACCCTTACCATGTTTAACCTCCCCCTGTATCTTTTTTCATGTTCTGAAGAATTCTTTATCCCATTCTGAACCCAAGGGCTTAGAATTACAGTGTATCTTTACTAATGTAGTTAAATATATTTGTTTTCTAGGAACCTGCAAAGACAAAGAGGTTTAGAAGCTTCCTTCTGGAAATATTTCCGGTGTATTATTTCTAGTATTCTATTTTTAAATGCAAAGTCCAATACAGTCATGCATTGCTTAACAACCTGATACATTCTGAGAAATGTATCATTAGGCTATTTTATTGTGTAAACATCATACACGAATCTAGATGGCATAGCCTACTACACACCTAGGTGATATGGTATAGCCTATTGCTCCTAGGCTACAAACCATGTTACTACACTTAATGCTGTAGCCAATTGTAACACAATAGTAAATATTTGTGTATCTAAACATATCTAAGCACAGAAAAGATCAAGTGTTGCACTACAACATTACCACGGCTTCAGTGTTACTAGGTGATGGGAATTTTTCATCTCCATTGTAATCTTATGGGACACTGTTGTATTTGCAGTCCATCATTGACCAAAATGTCATTAAGCAGTTCATGACTGTGTCACAGGATCCTTGTGGTGTTGCTTCGCCAGCCGGCAGCACCTTCTGCTGAGAGTTGCTTGTGTCTGCTGGGCTTGTTATGCCCACTCAGCCCAGCAGGCTGCGCTCAGCTTGCACTACTGGCCAAGATCCCACACCTGCGAAGGGTAAACCAGGCACAGAGTGGAGAGGGGTGTGTGGACGAGTGAGCACAGGGTCAGCCACTGCACACAGCCAGACATGCCAACTGCTGTGGCGGGGCAGGCAGCTTCAGACACTGGCACAGGTGCCAGCTCCATGCAAGGCTGCAGCTGCTGGAAGCTTGGAGATGCCAGGAACCACAGAGCCCCAAAGAGGGTGTCACAGCCCTGGCTCTGGTGAGCCCCTAGGTCTAGGCTCCCCAAAGGGCCACAGCTATTTTCTCCTTTTGGTCACCCACAATGTGGTGAGCACGGGGCAGAGGGGGGTGTTTCAGATCTGTTGGTGTTACAGCTCTTTCAATCCCGCTATTTGGCAGATCCTGAGTTCTCATCCTCATCCTGCATCCAGGAAGAATGAGGTACATGGACAACTGGAGGGTAAGCAAGGTGAAGAGGACCTTCACTGAGCAACAGAACAGCTCTCAGAAGACCCACAAAGAAGCTCCTTTGTGCAAACAGGTTGTCCAGATGAGTGTCCTGCTCCCAGCAGACAGGAGACATGCAGTGGTCATCCGGACCAATGTCCAGCTCTCAGTGGAGAGGAGACCTACAGTGGGTAGCTCCTTTCTGCAGCTGGTAGTCCCAACTTCTGTGTGAGTCTATCTGGGACCAGGATTTTTATGGGCTCAGAAGGGAGGCAGTGTGTACTAATTGGTCTATGGGCAGCCATGGGCTGGCCTGGAGAAAGCACCATAAGTTCTCATTCCAGGCTGTGGACTCCACCTGGAACTGACAGCCTGGACTCCAGGCCTCAGGCCCTCCTTGGCTTGAAGTTGGGGTTTCACTGGGGACCTGCCCCTTTCCACCCAGGAGCCCATCTGCCTCCTGCCACCACCAACATGTCCAAGGTGCCAGGCTGTTCATGCCGAGGGGCACTTGCAAGTCTGTGCCGACCTGCCCTCAGCCCCCACTCAGCCTCCCTCCTGTGCTCGTCAACTCCCAAAGTCTGGAGGGGGCCAAGGCAGCAGGGGGCTGGCATGTTAGCCCCACCCCGAGCACGTGCACACCTAGTCAGGTCAAGACAGCTCCCAGGCTCAGCCACAACTTTGCAACACCCCAGAGCGGGTGCTGGGAGTGGGGAGAGGCCAGGCAGTGGGAGCAGGCACTTTCAAGCCTGCAGCAGGGGCAAGGGGCTTCCTGGGCCCCCAAGAGCACAGAGATGCCCAGCTCTGGAGTCACAGCTAGGTGGTTGCAGTTGCACCCCGGTCCTCGGGGCTCCCACCCTGCCAACTAGGTAGGGGGCGGGGCTCCCACCTGTTCCCAGCCCCCACTGGCTCCATGGAGTGCACAGACCTAGCCACGCCTCCCCTGCTGTAACTGGCATCTTTGCAGTGGCCATTCCAGATGGGCTGCCACCACCATCAACTGTATTTGGGAGGAGAAATACAAGGGGTAGAGAAAACAGGTCACACCTTGAGGACAGAAGAAGAAATAGATTTGCTTTTAACTATTTTGTCTAGAAGTCCTGCTTCTTTCCTCTTACGATATTTCACTACTTTTTCCCAGCTTTGTAGAAATGATGATCCCCTTCCCCATTCTTTGTTTTTTTTTTTTTTAATACTTTAAGTTCTGGGATACATGTGCAAACATGCAGTTTTGTTACATAGGTATACGCATGCCATGGCGGTTTGCTGCTCCCATCAAACCATCATCCACATTAGCTATTTCTCCTAATGCTATCCCTCCCCTAGCCCCCCACCCCCTGACAGACCCCGATGTGTGATGTTCCCCTCCCTGTGTCCATGTGTTCTTATTGTTCAGCTCCCACTTATGATTGAGAACATGCGGTGTTTGGTTTTCTGTTCTTGTGCTAGTTTGCTGAGAATGATGGTTTCCAGCTTCATCCATGTCCCTGCGAAAGACATGAACTCATCCTTTTTTATGGTTGTATTCTTTTTTCACTCCCCTCGTCTCTGCTTAATATAGCCCAGTGAAATAAGAAGATGGTCTAGGTCTTTCCCATCTGTTATAGTCTCCCTAGAAAGTTGCTGATCCTCTTGCAATCCCCCAGTGACACCATTGCTGTCCCATCAGGTCCTGTTGCAGAATAAAATGAAAGTTGGCGATTCAGTTCTGGATTTGCTTTTTGGGCACCCAATTACAGATCAAGCATAGAACTCTGACATGGAGGAAGGCAAGAAAAAATTACAGATTACACTCAGGAAATCGTCCCGACTTACGTTACTGACTTCCTCCTCCTACAGCTACAAGAAGAGCCACTCAGTGGCTCTCAGCTACTATTTCTCCTGGCCAGCGAAGAGTTATGACCCTCAGAGGCCCTCAGAGCTCTATAGGCCCCTCACTCCCAGCCCCAACACATCATTCAAAAGAAGACCAGCACACCATGAGTGATTGTTTATATTCTTGAAAATTACCCCAGATTCACATTTGTGAAAATTAAATTAGGTTCTTTCTAAATCTACAAATATTCGTGCTGAAGTGTCTATGTTTGCTTTGCTGGGATCCTAAGGGTTGGGGTCTTGAGCATCAGTGTGTCACCTAGCCTTGCCTGTGGCTCCTGGATTGGACACTTGTTCTCTGACTTGACTTCTATGTAAAATGACAGACCCAAAATTACATGGCTCATCCTTGTGGAGAATGTCCCAGGGAAACAGTAAAAACAAACATCAAAGAGGATCAAATACCAGTGCTTTGTCCAATTGCCAATGTGGTAGCTCCCTGATAATAGGATAAAGGCACCAAGAACACTAGGTGTTTACATTTATTTTTAAAACACCAGCTGAAAAGAGAACTCTTCTTGGCAGAGTGCACAAACATTTATATTGAACCTTTCATCCCCAGCACTTTTAAGCATTACCTCATTAATCTTCAAAGCAGCTACATAAGGCAGGTAGAACTATTTTCTTTGCAATTTTAAATGTCCCACTTAATAAGAGTGAGAGAGCACACAGTGACAGCACTACCAGATCCCTGGACCAAGGCCTGGCTCCCTACAGACAGATTACTATCCAGAGTGGAGAAGCCACTCATGGAGCTCCATCTGGCCAAGTCTTCCTGAACAGTCCCATATCCTCAATGCCCTCATTTGTCTCTTCTAGGGCTGCATCCATTATCCACTGCCCCATCAGCTCACATTCAAACTTGCTCATCTTTCCAAAATCCCATGTCTTAGTCTATATGCTGAGCTACAGAATTAATAAAAGACTTTCTGTTACACGTTTAGTATGCTCTGCATGTCACTTTTATATTTATTTTTATATTTATATTTATATACTTTTTATATTTATATTTATATTTATATTTTGAAATATAAAAAATATATTTTGATGGAGATGATGAAACAGATGATATATTTCATATATCATATAATATGCAGATATATTTGATATATTAACTAATAATACATGACATATGAAGATGATGTCTTAGTACAAAAATAATGGCTGGAAAAATACAATAAGCAGGAGGATCTTGTGGATGTCCTTTAAATGACATTAGACAACTGTAGGCTTTACCTAATCGCTGGGTCTGTCCAGTGAAGAAGGTAAACTGGGTAGATTGGAATGAAACTTTACCAATGAAAGAACTCCATCCTTAATATTCTGTTCCTCTAGAACCACTCCTGGTACCAAAATCTGTATTAGTCAGGGTTCTCTAGAGGGACAGAACTAATAGGATAGATTTATATATAAAGGGGAGTTTATTAGGGAGTATTAACTCACATGTTCACAAACTGAGGTCCCACAGTAGGCTGTCTGCAAGCTGAGGAGCAAGGAAGCCAGTCCAAATCCCAAGAGTCCAATGTTTGAGGGCAGGAAGCATCCAGCATGAGAGAAAGACGTAGGCTGGGAGGCTAAGCCAGTCTAGTGTTTTCACATTCTTCTGGCTGCTTTTATTCTGGCCACACTGGTAGCTGATTAGATGGTGCCCACTCAGATTGAGGGTGGGTCTGCCTTTCCCAGTCACTGACTCAAATGTTAATCTCCTTTGACAACACCCTCACAGAAACACCAGAAGCAATAGTTTGCATCCTTTAATCCAATCAAGTTGACACTCAATGTTAACCATCACAATTGGAATGAAGCTTTACCACCTCTCACTCTTCTTTATCATCTAAAAAGTGTGTGTGTTTGTTGTGTATGCATGTGTATCCCTTTAAGAAAAATGCTTTCTAGGTTTCTACTTATGTGTTCTAACTTTAATTAATATATAGGTCCTTTACATTTTCCTTTACTTTTAGATTTTAGATAATACTTTTGCATTTTAGTTATTTTATTTAGTCTTTGAATATTTGATCCTCTGTGCTTCATCTTCAAGAAAACTGACTAATTGTCATCAGTTCTGGAATGATTAAAAGCGTAAGACATATGATATTCTTACTGTAACCATTTAGAAATATCAGCTTTGAGAGGCAAAAGAAAGTTACCTAATACCATTTATTGGTTTGTGTGTGACTGCATTCTTAGTCTAAGAGTGCACTAACTAATGCAGCATCATTAAATCTTTTTCACACTTCCCCATAATGGTACAGTTCAATTTTAATCACCTGACCAGACAATATGGTTTGTCAAAAGCAGAATTTTCTACCTAATATATTCAGAACACTTGTATCTAAATATTTGCTTGGGTTCTATCTCAGAAATAACATCAACAACTAGCATTTAATCTATTTAATACTTAATGACAGCCCCAATGACATCTCAAGTCCCTCTATGCAACTTGCATAAAAAGGACAACAGCTAATCAAGAAGGATTCTTCCAGGAACAATTTGAAAGAAAATAAATCTTATCTTAACCTAAAAAAAAAAAAAATCCAGTCCTCAGCAAGAGTAAACTTCTGTGTAGAGTAAAATATAGAATGACAAAACTCAATAGCTTCTCTACTCCAAATTATACCCCTAATATTTTGTTTAAGATGACATTTTATATCAGCTTCCATATTTATATTCAGATAAATACAAATGTCTCCAGTGCCTAGCACAGTGTTTGACACATAACAGATGCTTAGCAAAGTTTTGCTGGAAAAAAAAATGAGCAAAAACCACTCAAATATCAAATATTAATAATTTTTGGACTATCCTCCATTTTACATTACCCAAACCTCGGCTCTCTTCCATTAGAGAAAATCATCAGCAGTTGGCAATAGTTTAATTATATTTTAGGGGATATACAAAAACATAAAATCTATGCTCATAAAACACAAGCCAAAAAACATCTAACTGCCTAAGTATGGCCATTCTCAACTACCCTCCATTTCCTTCTTAAGCGCCACTTAAATGTTCCCTTATTGCCAATTCCAGATATGTGTCTTAAATAAGTAATAAGATAATTAGCCATGAAGTATACACACTCAACAGGCCAACTATTAAAATAAGACAAGACCTTGAGGAAAAAATAATGCATTATAAAAAGAAATCATGACGATCCAGTGGAGGGTGAAATAATACGGCTGCGGTACAGGACTGAGTCAGATAGGTATGGACTGTGGTCTCCATGATTCCACTGAAGCGTGGAAATTTCCAGACAGAGCCGGATTCTCATGGAGATCATGAGATCTGGGATGCAGCTGAAACATAAAACTAAGCAGCTATGAGAGCCTAAGTGTGTGACAGTCTCCAGTCTTGGAGTGATTTTTGGTTTTGTTTTATTTTGTTTTCTCGCACACTAAAGACACTGAATAAATATCTGATGCAACTTTACTCATCTATAAAATGATAATCTCAAAAGTCCATTCCAGGATTAGTATGCAATGATTCTACAATTTAAGGTTTTCAGGGACATGGAATCAGAGTCATACTACAATTAGAAGAGCTCTTTATAAATGAGGAAACTGCTGCTTTCTGAAGTTTATCAGCAATCATCTCAAAACACTGAGTCCACCTCAGAATCAAAATGAGGGCTTCTCATTTTCTCAAATGTGAAATGCCTTATGTCCAGAATGTATTATCTCACATTGACAATTAGAATATTCTGAATTGTAAGAAATCACATGGGCTGGGTTTCTTATTGTTACATGAGGCATATCCTTACTTGAGAACCCGTGCGGGAAGTCCTGTCATAGTCCAGCAATCAACAGACAGGTTGGGCTGGACTGTGTCCTTAACTAACTCAGCATTTTCACATCCCAGACACTTGTCTAGACCAGCATCCTTAAAGCAGTCTAAACTGGGACTCTGAAGTAGTCCAGTGAACTCAGTCGAACAAGGTTGACTGGGACCCAGCCACTACCTGAAACCATTTAGACCTTGCTATTTGATAAATACTTATTGACCTCCTCCTCTGTGCCTGGTACTATGCTGCAGTGAGAATTCAGAGGTGAACAATATGTAACCCTCCCCTTAGAGGTCATAGCCTGGTAGGTATATTAAAAAGTGAATAGAGAAATACAGTGAAATATGTGCTAGGCAGAGATGAGGACAGGAAGCTACATTCACACACAGAGGAGGCATCTAACCATCCTGGAAGGCCACAGAAGGCATTCTGAAGGGGAAGACATATAAAATGAGACCTGGGAGACAACTAGAGTACTACAAAGCGATTAGACCTTGAAGAAGAGTGACCCATCTGCTAGAACAGGAAGTTTGATATTAGCAGAGTCTTCCCATGGCAACAGCCAGTGGAGCAGTGTTTCTCCACACAGCTGTGGTCCTCCACCCACCTGCAGAGTCCCACCTTGCAGAGCTGCTAAATGTGCAGATTTGTAGGCTCCAACCCAGCCTGGCTGAATTAGAATCTCTTGAGGTGGAGTCCAGAGTACTGAATTGTAAAAGTTTATCAAGTGATTTTGGTAAAAGTTAAAGTTTGAGAACCACTGTAATGACAAGTAACCCCTTCATGCTGGTGGCTGCCAAGGTCCAGGAGCTAAAGATGGTCATGTGTCTGTATGGAAAGATAGTCAGCAACAAAGAACCCTGAGTGAATTCCCAGTAACTGGGTTGGAGTTTTGAAACAGATTCAAGTTATTCAAGAAAAGGGACTGCAATCCTTATCAGATTGTCAAGCCAAGATTCTGCCACAGAGGAAAATATCAGCATTAAGGGACCGGAGCTGAAAGACAGAGCATGACCAAGTGACAAGAATGAGAAAAAAGTTTAAATGATAACTTGATCTTAAAGTCAAAGATAAACAGGCCACATAGGTGACCTTATGGTGAGTGCCTGGTTGTTGGGCCAGGCCTGTAACTGGGAGTCAATAAGACTTTGACATCGAAAGAAGACAATTTCTGAGGCTGATAAGTGAGTCAGGCCCCATATATCCTAGGAATAAATGATGTGGTGTGGTGTGCCATGTTATGTTATAACTTAGTATTCTAATCACTGAATCCCTTTTGCCCTATTATTATTCTCTCTTCTTGTAGATATTTGGCTCTCAATATTTCAATATTTATCTACTTTATATAATGAGGCAGAAACTGTTACTGCATTCTAACCAAAATTTAATCTTGAATTAAGGTGTCCTGTAACAGGATTAGGGACCCACTTCTATGATATTTGTGATGATAATTTAGAATTGCTGATCAATGCTGGTCTTTCTAGTGCAAAGCAAACAATTAAAATCCCTTTACTCAAAGCTGTTTTCTGACTTAATCTGCATTTAATGGTAATTAATTTCACTTATGGTTCCTAAACAACTAACAGTTTCTACAGGTCACAGGATTAGTCCAAGAAACTATGAGCAATAGCAAACAAGAAGCCCCAGCTGTGTCTTTTTTATTAATTAATCCAACCCTGTGTTCATGCTCTTGGCATTCTTGCTTGGATGACATTCATCTACTTCCAACACTCATGGTAGTTCAAAGCAAAAGGTATATATAGAACACCCTCCACAGCCAGTGTGTGTGTGTGTGTTTGTTTGTTGTTTGTTTGTTTGTTTGAAAAAAACAAAGTGTAATATATGGTATGGGCGCTGGAATCAGAAAGACCTGATTTCAGTCTCTCCTTGCACTGACTAACTTGTGTGAACCTGAGTGAGTTATTTATTTCTGAGATTCTTATCAGTAAAACAGGTATTAATACTATGTAGCTCTCTAGCTCACTGAACTGCTTTGAAATTAAGACAATTGTACATAAGGAAAGCATTTAGAAGAGCATATGGAAAGTTAGCTATCTTTATTTTTTTTGCTGTTGTTATACAGGCACTCCAGCCTTCAGGTACTAGATGAGGTAACATCCTCAGGAATCACTTGTCTACTATGTGTCTCCCTTTTTAATGCAAAGTGTCCTCACAGGTCTCCTCTGGGAACTCCAAAAAGAATACTCCCTTTACACATGATCAAGGGAAAACTGCCTCAAGGCATCCATCACGTTCTTCCTCTCCTGCCTGGAGCCCTGACATATATCCCCTGTCTATGCCTCCAAGAGACCACTGTCACTACTACTGCTGAGAATGCCCATGTCCTAGCTTATGACGATGCCTTCTGATGCTCTCAAAAATCCAAGAATGTCACACTCTATCACTTGGAGCAGGGCAATGGAGCACCAATAATCCACAGAGTGTCTTATGAGAACAATTTCTTCAGCTATTATATGCAGCCCTATTCTCCACACAGCCATACATACGTGACTTCATGCATTCAGTCAAGATAAGTATTTCTGAAAGAAAGCCTAGGCTTTCATTCCTACCCCCTTCCAAGCTCCTTTCACCATATCCTGCAAAATTAACATGCCTGTAAACCCTTACAACAGTGACTTCTTGAAAACAGTAGAGTTCAGTGGTTAAAAGCAAAGGATGTGAGTCACACTGTTTAGATTTAAGGGGAAAATAACAGCCTCTCTGTGCCTCAGTTTTTGGTTTGTTTTCAGAAAAAGAAAATTGATGTAGTAATAGCACCTAATTGATGCAGTTTGGCTCTGTGTCCCCACCCAAATTTCATCTCAAATTGTAATCCTCATAATCCCCACGTGTGGAGGGTGGGACCTGGTGGGAGTTGATTGGATCATACGGCCGGTTTCCCCCATGCTTTTCTTGTGATAGTGAGTGTGTTCTCATGAGATCTGATGGTTTGATAAGTGTTTGACAGTTCCTCATGCACACACTCACTCTCTCTCCTGCTGCCTTGTAAAGAAGGTACTTGCTTCTCCTTTGCATTCTTCCATGATTGTAAGTTTCCCGAGGCCTCCGCAACCATGTGAAACTTTGAGTCAATTAAACCTCTTTCCTTTATAAATTACCCAGTCTCAGGCATTTCTTACAGCAGTGTGAGAACAGACTAATACACTAATTGACACAGAAATTTTGTGGGCCTAAATGAGGTGAGTATCTGAAACACTAAGATTGGGCCCTGACACTTATCATTAACTCAGCAAATGGTAACATTAGCAAGAACTCCTTTTCTGATAGCCACTTATGAACTCAATGTTTATGTTCCTCCAAAATTCTTATGTGATAATCCTTAAATGCACTCATTCCATTCATGAGGGCTCCACTCTCATGACCTAATCATTTCCCAAAGACCGCACCTCACTGTAATAATTATTACAATGTAAATATTAATTACAACAATTATTATTCATTACAATAATTATTACATTGAGGTGGGGTCTTTGGGAAGGGATTAGGTGGTGAGGGTGGACCCCTCATGAAAGCAATTAGTGCACTTAGAAGAAGAGGACCGAGAACTAGCTTGCTCTCTTTCTGCCATGTGAAGATACAAGTCAAAGTCAGCCATCTGCAACCTGAATGTAGGCCCTCACCAGAGCCCAGTCATGATGGCACTCTGATCCTGGACTTCTCAACCTCCAGAATTATGATAAATAAATGTTTGTTTGCCTGTAATCCCAGGACTTTGGGAGGCCGAGGGGGGCTGATCACGAGGTCAGGAGATCAAGACCATCCTGGCTAACATGGAGAAACCCCATCACTACTAAAAATCCAAAAAAATTAGCTGGGCATGGTGGCAGGCACCTGTAGTCCCAGCTACTTGGGAGGCTGAGGCAGGAGAATGGTGGGAACCCGGAAGGCAGAGCTTGAAGTGAGCCGAGATCATGCCACTGCACTCCAGCCTGGGCGACAGAGTGAGACTCGGTGTCAATAAATAAATAAATATTTGTGTTTAAGTCACCCGGTCTATGGTAATTTGTTACCGCAGCCTGAACTCACTGAAATACTACAACTTAAGACAAAACTAAGGCTTCTTCCACAACTTAACAAAATTACAAATGTTTCTAGTCCTATAGATTTGTTGTTGTTTTTCTCTTAATGGCTACAATTGGCACAACAGATATTGTAATAAGCCCCTTAAATACAAGTTTAAGTGATGAGAAAATAATATGAAACTTTGATTTTCAAAAGCAGTAACCAATCATATCCCATATAAGGTTGAAACATCCAGGTTTATAAAAGAAGCATCCCACCCAGCAGATTGAAGACTCTAACACATTGATTTAATTACATTTGTATAAGCATTGTTTCCTCAGAATTTTTGCTTTATGGAAAAAGTGAACCATGAATTGTGTTCACATAAACACATAATAAAGCAGTTCATTCCATAATAACAATATTTGTATATCACATATAATATAAAGTGTTTTGTAAACTTTTATAATTTAATTTAATCTCATAATTCACTTTCATAATTTATAATTTAATTGTATAATTTAATTTAATCTTACAACAATCACATATGAAAAGTACAGCATGGGGCGTCTCCAAGATGGCCAAATAGGAACAGCTGTAGTCTACAACTCCCAGTGTGAGTGACGCAGATGATGGGTGATTTCTGCATTTCCAACTGAGGTACCAGGTTAATCTCAATGGGGCTTGTCAGACAGTGGGTGCAGGATAGTGGGTGCAGCCCACCGAGCATGAGCCAAAGCAGGGCGAGTCATCGCCTCACCTGGGAAGCACAAGGGGTCAGGGAATTCCCTTTCCCAGCCAAGGGAAGCTGTGACAGATGGCACCTGGAAAATTGGGTCACTCCCACCCTAATACTGTGCTTTTCCAACGGACTTAGCAAACTGCACACCAAGAGATTATATCCCGTGCCTGGCTACAAGGGTCCCATGCTCACGGAGCCTCACTCATTGCTAGCACAGCAGTCTGAGATCAAACTGCAAGGCAGCAGCGAGGCTGGGGGAGGGGCGCCCGCCATTGCTGAGGCTTGAGTAGGTAAACAAAGAAGCCAGGAAGCTCGAACTGGGTGGAGCTCACCATAGCTCAAGGAGGCCTGCCTGCCTCTGTAGACTCCACCTCTGGGGACAGGGCATAGCCAAACAAAAGGCAGCAGAAACCTCTGCAGACTTAAACATCCCTGTCTGACAGCTTTGAAGAGAGTAGTGGTTCTCCCAGCATGGAGTTTGAGATCTGAGAATGGTCAGACTGCTTCCTCAAGTGAGTTCCTGACCCTGGAGTAGCCTAACAGGGAGGCACCACCCAGTAGGGGCACACTGACACCTCCCACAGCTGGGTAACCCTCTGAGATGAAGCTTCCAGAGGAAAGATCAGGCAGCAACATTTGTTGTTCTGCAATATTTGCTGGTCTGCAGCCTCTGCTGCTGATACCCGGGCAAACAGGGTCTGGAGTGGACCTCCAACAAACTCCAACAGACCTGCAGCTGAGGGTCCTGACTGTTAGAAGGAAAACTAACAAACAGAAAGGACATCCACACCAAAACGCCATCTGTACGTCACCAGCATCAAAGACTAAAGGTAGATAAAACCACAAAGATGGGGAAAAAACAGAGCAGAAAAGCCGAAAATTCTAAAAATCAGAGCGCCTCTCCCCTGCCAAAGGAACGCAGCTCCTTGCCAGCAACAGAACAAAGCTGGACAGAGAAAGACTTTGACGAGTGGAGAGACGAAGGCTTCAGACAATCAAACTTCTCCGAGCTAAAGGAGGAAGTTTGAACCCATCACAAAGAAGCTAAAAACCTTGAAAAAATATTAGACAAATGGCTAACTAGAATAACCAGTGTAGAGAAGTCCTTAAATTACCTGACGGAGCTGAAAACCATGGCACGAGAACTACGTGATGAATCCACAAGCTTCCATAGCCAATTCGATCAACTGAAAGAAAGGGTATCAGTCATGGAAGATGAAATGAATGAAGTGAAGTGAGAAGAGAAGTTTAGAGAAAAAAGAGTAAAAAGAAATGAAAAAGTCTCCAAGAAATATGGGACAGTGTGAAAAGACCAAATCGACGTCTGATTGGTGTACCTGAAAGTGATGGGGAGAATGGAACCAAGTTGGAAAACACTCTTCAGGATATTATCCAAGACAAATTCCCCAATCTAGCAAGGCAGGCCAATATTCAACTTCAGGAAATACAGAGAACGCCACAAAGATACTCCTCGAGAAGAGCAACTCCAAGACACATAATTGTCAGATTCACCAAAGTTGGAATGAAGGAAAAAATGTTAAGGGTAGCCAGAGAAAAGGACAGGTTACCCACAAAGGGAAGCCCATCAGACTAACAGCAGATCTCTTGGCAGAAACTCTACAAGCCAGAAAAGAGTGGGGGCCAATATTCAACATTCTTAAAGAAAAGAACTTTCAACCCAGAATTTCTTATCCAGCCAAACTAAGCTTCATAAGTAAAGGAGAAATAAAATACTTTACACACAAGCTGAGAGATTTTGTCACCACCAGGCCTGCCCTAAAAGAGCTCCTGAAGGAAGCACTAAACATGGAAAGAAAAAACCAGTACAAGCCACTGCAAAAACATGCCAAATTGTAAAGACCATAGAGGCTAGGAAGAAACTGCATCAACTAACGAGCAAAATAACCAGCTAACATCATAATGACAGGATCAAATTCACACATAACAATATTAACCTTAAATATAAATGGGCTAAATCCTCCAATTAAAAGACACAGACTGGCAAATTGGATAAAGAGTCAAGACCCATCAGTGTGCTGTATTTAGGAGACCCATCTCAGGTGCAGAGACACACATAGGCTCAAAATAAAGGGATGGAGGAAGATCTACCAAGCAAATGGAAAACAGAAAAGGGCAGGGGTTGCAATCCTAGTCTCTGATAAAACAGAATTTAAACCAACAAAGATCAAAAGAGACAAAGAAGGCCATTACATAATGGTAAAGGGATCAATTCAACAAGAAGAGCTAACTATCCTAAATATATATGCACCCAATACAGGAGCACCAAGATTCATAAAGCAAGTCCTGAGTGACCTACAAATATACTTAGACTCCCACACATTAATAATGGGAGACTTTAACACCCCACTGTCAACATTAGACAGATCAACGAGACAGAAAGTTAACAAGGATATCCAAGAATTGAACTCAGCTCTGCACCAAGTGGACCTAATAGACATCTACAGAACTCTGCACCCCAAATCAACAGAATATACATTCTTCTCAGCACCACATCGCACTATTCCAAAATTGACCACATAGTTGGAAGTAAAGCACTCCTCAGCAAATCTAAAAGAACAGAAAGTATAACAAACTGTCTCTCAGACCACAGTGCAATCAAACTAGAACTCAGGATTAAGAAACTCACTCAAAACCACTCAACTACATGGAAACTGAACAACGTGCTCCTGAATGACTACTGGGTATATAACAAAATGAAGGCAGAAATAAAGATGTTCTTTGAAACCAATGAGAACAAAGACACAACATACCAGAATTTCTGGGACACATTTAAAGCAGTGTGTAGAGGGAAATTTATAGCACTAAATGCCCACAAGAGAAAGCAGGAAATATCTAAAATTGACACCCTAACATCACAATTAAAAGAACTAGAGAAGCAAGAGCAAACACATTCAAAAGCTAGCAGAAGGCAAGAAATAACTAAGATCAGAGCAGAACTGAAGGACACAGAGACATGAAAACCCTTCAAAAAATCAATGAATCCAGGAGCTGACTTTTTGAAAAGATCAACAAAATTGATAGGCTGCTAGCAAGACTAATAAAGAAGAAAAAAGAGAGAAGAATCAAACAGATGCAATAAAAAATGATAAAGAGGATATCACCACCAATATCACAGAAATACAAACTACCATCAGAGAATCACCTCTACACAAATAAACTAGAAAATCTAGAAGAAATGGATAAATTCCTGGACACATACACCCTCCCAAGACTAAACCAGGAAGAAGTTGAATCCCTGAATAGACCAACAACAGGCTCTGAAATTGAGGCAATAATTAATAGCCTACCAACCAAAAGAAGTCCAGGACCAGATGTATTCACAGCCGAATTCTACCAGAGGTACAAGGAGGAGCTGGTACCATTCTTTCTGAAAATACTCCAATCAATAGAAAAAGAGGAAATCCTCCCTAACTCATTTTATGAGGCCAGCATCATCCTGATACCAAAGCCTGGCAGACACACAACAAAAAAAGAGAATTTTAGACCAATATCCCTGATGAACATTGACGCAAAAATCCTCAATAAAATACTGGCAAACCAAATACAGCAGCACATTAAAAGCTTATCCACCATGATCAAGTGGGCTTCATCCCTGGGATGCAAGGCTGGTTCAACATGAGCAAATCAGTAAATGTAATCCAGCATGTAAACAGAACCAAAGACAAAAACCACATGATTATCTCAATAGATGCAGAAAAGGCCTTTGACAAAATTCAACAGCGCTTCATGCTAAAAACTCTCAATAAATTAGGTATTGATGGGACGTATCTCAAAATAATAAGAGCTATTTATGACAAACCCACAGCCAATATCATATTGAATGGGCAAAAACTGGAGGCATTCCCTTTGAAAACTGGCCCAAGACAGGGATGCCCTCTCTCACCACTCCTATTCAACATAGTGTTGAAAGGGCAATCAGACAGGAGAAAGAAATGAAGGGTATTCAATGAGGAAAAGAGGAAGTCAAATTGTCCCTGTTTGCAGATGACATGATTGTATATTTAGAAAACCTCATCACCTCAGCCCAAAATCTCCTTTAGCTGATAAGCAACTTCAGCAAAGTCTCAGGATACAAAATCAAAGTGCAAAAATCACAAGCATTCCTATACACCAATAACAGACACACAGAGAGCCAAATCATGAGTGAATTCCCATTCACAATTGCTTCAGAGAGAATAAAATACCTAGGAATCCAACTTACAAGGGATGTGAAGGACCTCTTCAAGGAGAACTACAAACCACTGCTCAATGAAATAAAAGAGGACACAAACAAATGGAAGAACACTCCATGTTCCTGGATAGGAAGAACCAATATCGTGAAAATGGCCATACTACCCAAGGTAATCTATAGATTCAATGCCATCCCCATCAAGCTACCAATGACTTTCTTCACAGAATTGGAAAAAACTACTTTAAAGTTCATATGGAACCAAAAAAGAGCCCGCATTGCCAAGTCAATCCTAAGCCAAAAGAACAAAGCTGGAGGCATCATGCTACCTGACTTCAAACTATACTACAAGACCACAGTAACCAAAACAGCATGGTACTGGTACCAAAACAGAGATATAGACCAATGGAACAGAACAGAACCCTCAGAAATAATACCACACATCTACAACCATCTGGTCTTTGACAAACCTGGCAAAAGCAAGAAATGGGGAAAGGATTCCCTATTTAATAAATGATGCTTGGAAAACTGGCTAGCCATATGTAGAAAGCTGAAACTGGATACCTTCTTTACACCTTATACAAAAAGTAATTCAAGATGGATTAAAGACTTAAATGTTAGACCTAAAACCATAAAAACCCTAGAAGAAAACCTAGGCAATACCATTCAGGACATAGGCATGGGCAAGGACTTCATGTCTAAAACACCAAAAGCAATGGCAACAAAAGCCACAATTGACAAATGGGATCTAATTAAACTAAAGAGCTTCTGCACAGCAAAAGAAACTACCATCAGAGTGAACAGGCAACCTACAGAATGGGAGAAACGTTTTGCAATCTACTCATCTGACAAAGGGCTAATATCCAGAATCTACAAAGAACTCAAACAAATTTACAAGAAAAAAACAAACAACCCCATCAAAAAGTGGGCAAAGGATATGAACAGATACTTCTCAAAAGAAGACATTTATGCAGCCAACAGACACAGGAAAAAATGCTCATCATCACTGGCCATCAGAGAAATGCAAATCAAAAGCACAATGAAATACCATCTCACACCAGTTAGAATGGTGATCATTAAAAAGTCAGGAAACAACAGGTGCTGGAGAGGATGTGGAGAAATAGGAACACTTTTACACTGTTGGTGGGACTGTAAACTAGTTCAACCATTGTGGAAGACAGTGTGGTGAATCCTCAAGGATCTAGAACTGGAAATACCATTTGAACCAGCCATCGCATTACTGGGTATATACCCAAAGGATTATAAATCATGCTGCTATAAAGACACATGCACACATATGTTCATTGTGGCACTATTCACAATAGCAAAGACTTGGAACCAACCCAAATGTCCATCAATGATAGACTGGATTAAGAAAATGTGGCACCTATACACCATGGAATACTATGCAGCCACAAAAAATGATGAGTTCATGTCCTTTGTAGGACATGGATGAAGCTGGAAACCATCATTCACAGCAAACTATCGCAAGGACAAAAAACAAAACACTGCATGTTCTCACTCATAGGTGGGAACTGAACAATGAGAACACTTGGACACAGTAAGGGGAACATCACACACCGGGGCCTACCGTGGGGTGGGGGGAGGGGGGAGGGATAGCATTAGGAGATATACCTAATATAAATGAGGAGTTAATGGGTGCAGCACACCAACATGGCACATGTATACATATGTAACAAACCTGCACATTGTGCACATGTACCCTAGTACTTAAAGTATAATAATAAAAAAAGAAAAGTACAGCAGATATTGTTTCTATATTACGGATAAGAAAACTAAAGCTCAGAGTGGGTACATAAATCAAACTAGTCATGCTCCTGGAAATAGTGAAGCCACAACCTGAATCTAAGACTTTTAAAATTCCATACTAAAACTTGTTTACTGTAACACTATGAATGAAGTTGTTTGCTTTGATTAATTTTTTTGTATATGCATTTTGATATGCCAATCCTTTACTCTTCAATTCTGCCAAATTTACTTGCTGAACATATTCCACCACGTCTTACAATAAGATGCCAAATAGCATGAGGATTCTTGTCCTTCTCTGACCTCTCTTTTGAGTTTCCTGCCTGGGAAAGATTATGAACAAAGAGAATTGAGAAAGCAGTTTAGAAAAGAATCAGGAACCATGAATCACCATCACTGGGTTCACTTGAGACTGGATTCACTGGGTTTTTCTGAGACTCCAAGGAACCTGTGGGAAAACAAAATCGAGGATGAGAACTTAGGCAAAACTCAAAGTTTGTGCTCTCTTCCTTCTTCTAAACTTGATTAGGCCAGTGGTTCTCAATTCCAATTGCACCTAAAAGTATCTGGGGAACTCTCCAAAAATGACAAAACCTGAGTCACACTCAGGGCCAATAAACTCAGAATCTTTGAAGATGGAGCTGGGATATGGGGAGTTTACAAAAGCTCCTGGGTGCTTCCAGTGCGCAGCCAGGGTTTGAGAACGAGTGTGATGTCATAACCACCAGATCTCAAAGGCAAAGTGGGGAACCACAGTAGCTCTTAAAATAAGCATCCACCACTGCTCCAGAGAAGGGTAGAGACCTGAGAAAGGCCTGCACTGTGCCTGGTCCAGGAGGAAAAATGGGAATCTGGGTCAAGAGACAGCCAGATTCTTCATGTCATCTCTAGCAGCAAGTGCTAGAATAGAGGGAACATTCTTTTCTTCACCCAGCCTAACCTTTCCATTTCTATATGTTACCCAAGTTATTTCTAACTGGTAAGGATTATCCCTATTTTCAATTATCATTGTGACATTCATGATTGTGTTGTTGGTGTTGTTGGAGCTTTGACTGTTAGGGCAGTGACTGGTAACAGAACTATAATCTTTCAAAGGTGCAGCATTTATTGGCTTTTATTTGAACTTAAAATAAGTGACCTATTGCTTCTTGCACTATTGTCAACTATAAGTGTGTGGGAAAAAATCCTATCTTTGCCCTTGATTTATGACAAAAATATTTTTAATGTGAAATCATTCTTTTGATGTTTGCAGTACATTTCAAATGAAGATGGAATCTTTTGCCACTATTCAGAATTTGTCCCATCTGCCCCAATAAAAATACAAGTTATAGATTCAAGAATATCCATAGGAATCCTTTAACTCTGTATCAACAGACAAAGAAATCATTCTTGAAATACATCTGATGACATGATAGACTGGTAAAGTCAAATCTCTCCAGAAGCAAAAATTAACTATGATTACTTGATGTAAGACATCACTCAAACCAATCAAATGTTATTTTGGGAAATCATAAATTTATATCCAGTGTCAGTTTGTCACTCATTAAGTTCTTATAAGAATGATTAGGAAATTAACTTAATAAGTAAACGTTAGTCTTAATCTCTTCTTACTTTGATGGCTTAAAAATATAAGTTTATATCAATTCATTGGGTCTCACTAAATGACTCTGCCTGCTTGGAGGGTTATTTATTCTACTATTAATAAACTTTAGGATTGACAAGAAATTCTTGCATTGCTCCAATCTGCAACAAATCTACCTACCATGTGTTAGTACAGCTTTCAAAATATGATTTTATAATTAACATTAATAAATATTTGCTGGGTACCTACTATGTTCCAGACCCTGTGAAAGGTGCTAGAAATATATGAAAATCTCATTACCTTAAAATTGTTTCCATACACAAAAATTCCAGGAGCAGACTTTAGTCTTGCCAAGGTGTCATTTTAGTGACTGACATGGATCACCACTCCCTGGCAGTCAACAATGACAGCAAGCAAAGCTGCTTAACAGGGAGTTACTGATCTTCCAGCTGTATTTTGCTTGTCACTGCTTTGAAAGATGCTTACTTTGAAGATCTCCATCATGTGGAAGAGAAAAGGTACAATGTAACCTATAAATCAAGGAACAGCGAGGTTTTAGAGACACAAGTAAACCACCATGTAAGTAACTCAGAGAGCTCACAAAGAAGGTAAACATGGTGAATAAAATAAAGAGTTCGTGAACTTGATGATAAAGGAATCAATTTCTTCTCCAATAAACATTTTGTAAGCACTGTACCAAGAATAGAAGAAAAGAGTCTCCGTCCCACCCCTTGCCCAAAGGAAGAAAGAGCTAATCACAGGAGATGCTCCAGAATGCCTAAAGTATCATAATGAATAGTTCTACTAATGTCCACTTTTCAATGGAAAGTATGGACCTCTTAGATTCGCTTCCAAATTCCTCCCAAAATGACTGTCAATACTCTTGTTATTGAACCTGGAAAAAAAAGTTTCTAATATATTATTGATCACTTATCAATTCCCCAAACTGACGACAGCAGTTCTTAGATTAACTGTTAAACCTTGTTCATCATGATTATGCTGAATGTTTGTATGCAGTTTATGGGTTTTATGTCTGCAGTCATTCCTTCATTTTTCCATAGAAATGATATAAACAATGATGATGTAATTTAAATTTTATTCAATTTACTGGATTTTAAATGTTTTCTACATGGAGACCATGAAGAGGAACTATGTTCAGAGAAAATGTCTACAAAGCAGGACCATGGCCAACCACTTTTAATTTAACCCAATTCACTAAAAGTACAATAAAATATCATCTATTTGGAATTTATTAATTTTAAATATGTGAAAATCCACATTGCTGAAGTTGATCTGTGAAATTATATCTAGATTTGAATACCAGTTCACCACTTGGAAACTTATTGATTAAAATTTCTAAACGTCCATTTACTCATCTGTAAAATGGGTACAATCTCTTTATTTTTTCTAATTACTGCTACTGCTAGCACTCTATTCCAACCTACAAACATTTTGTGCCTAGAATAGTACAAAAGTCTCCTAACTGGTTCTCCTGACTCCATTCTTGCCTACTCCACCTTCCCCCCGCTGCCAAAAAACAGGCTATTATTTACATAGAGACCAGAGTGATTTGTTTTTTTAAGTCAGATTATTTCACTCCTCTAATAGAAATTCTAATGACTTCCTCTTTCACTCAATAAAATTCAGACTCCTTGTGGCCAAAAAGACCCACATGAGCTACCCCCACCCACACCCCCACTACCATCACATCTTCCCTAACCTCATCTTTTACCACTCTGCCAGTTGGTCCTTCCACCCTAGTTACATGGGCATTTCACATAAGCTCTGCACCTACCTGAAATGCACTTCCCCCAGAATGCCACATGGCTTGTCTGCCCACTCTTCTTCTCAGCTCAAATGCCACCTTCCCTGGTTATGTTATTTAAAATAACATTCCATCCTTAATGTCTCAGCCACTCTGTATCCTCCTCGCCCTGTTTTATTCTTCTTCACAATACTTCTCAGGGTGTGACTTAGAAGTGGCTTTTGTTTAATATCTGTTTCCCTGAGAGGGGAAAACCAATTAGTCTCTCTGAGAAGAAGGATTATTGTCTCTTTTATTCACTGCTATACCCTCTGCATGGAGAATAGTGCCCGGCATATAGTAAATTCTCAGCAAGAATATAAAAATGGATGGTTTCTTCTGCTTAGTAATGCCTTTCATGGCCTACTTTAGTTACTTAAAAATAACAAATTCATTTTTCTTAATATACTCCATAACCAAGTTTTTCACTAACTCAGATCTGATTTATACCTGAATGAATGTTATTCTGTCAGAAGGGATAAATATGTGACCCCATTAAGACAAAAACTTGGTAACAGATCTTTTTGAAATCTTACAACTATTTTACTTTCTTGGAAAATCAGCCTATTTTGTTCTTTTTATCAGTTTAATTGGATATCTGAGATGATCTTAGTTATGATGTCTTGCCCTTAATAATCTTGGTTAATTATACAATAGCTGGTACAATTATATAATATTGAATTTTAAAATTCTCTTAAATCCATGTTTGAGTTATAAACTTAAAATCACCAAAGCTGGGTGTGGTAATTTTAAAATATGGCCCCAGATGATTTCACAGCCCTTCCATTGGGAGGTAGGGTCTATCTCTCCTCCCCTTGAATGTGGGCAAACTTGTGACTTCTTGACTTACAGAGCACAGGCTTCCTGGGCTAGATCAGAATAGGTTATGCAACTTCCACCTTATTCTCTAAGAATGTTCACACGGGGGTAAGCCAGGCACCATCTGAAGAGTCTGCCTACCCTAAGACCTCCCTGATGAAGAGGCCATGTATAGGCACTCCAACCAACTGTCCCAGCTAAGCTCCCATTTGACAGCCAGCATCAACTGCCGGCCACCAGCCTATGCCAGGCTTCAAATGGCCACAGCCCTAGCTGACACCTAACTACAACCAAATGAGAAACACAAAGTGAAGATGGCCAACCAGCCTCTTCCTGAATTTCTGACCCACAAAACTAGAGTAAAATTAAATATTTGTTGTTTTTACACTTCTACATTTGGAAGTCATTTATTACCCAGCAATAGAAACTTATACAGCAGGAAATGCTGTCTCCCCTGTATTGTTCTGACTCTGTTTTCCACATGGTAAGAAAACAATCCATGGAAAATGTAGTGGATTTTATCAACATTGGTTTTGATTCACACAAGATAGAAAATCATTAAAACTCGAAAGGCATGTTGATTTCAGTGTTCTGAAAATGCAGCCTGTATAAGCTGTGGTCTATCAAGACCACTGAGTTAGAGAAGAGGTAGTTAAATTATGGGCCTGCTCACCAAATGTGGCCCACCACTTGTCGTATATAAAACAAAATAAATATAGCCTACAAAGCCTAAAATATTTACTATCTTGTCCTCTACCAGAAAGGTTTGCTGATCTCTGAGTTGAAGAATGGCAAAGTTAGAAAGAGAATGTAAGTGTTCTAAGTATTCTTTTCTTATTATGTTGTTGGGCAAAAATATCATTTTTCAATAATATCAGTATATTTTAATGGGCCTATTTCATGATTCTGATCAGCACTTCTTAAATTTTTTAAGGATTTTTAGTTGTTTTTGTTTTGGGAGTTCCCCCAGCCCCATTTTTTAGGTCTCCTTGTTTTGCTTTTAGTTTTCCTATCAAAAGAAAGAGATAAGTCACAGGAGAAGGAATACACATCACAGTTTTCTATGATACCATCAGTGAAGCAAATTCATATCAATTGAAGAAAATTAATATCTGAGGTCAGGGGTTGGCAAACTTTTTCTACAAGGGCAAGGATATTTTTAGCTTTGCAAACCACATGCTCTCTGTCTCATCTACTCGACCCTGATGTTTAACAGAAAAGCAGCCACAAACAGTGCTTAAATAAATGGCTATGTTTGTGTACAATAAGACTTTATTTATAGAAGCAAGTGGTAGGCTGGAGTTAGCCTGCAATCGTCATTAGCCCACCCCTATTTTGGATAATGTAGGGACACACGCACAAGCAGGGAGGTAGCAGGGATGTGGCACTGCTGCTTGAGATGTTTGCAGTTGTAAATCCTATACAGAGAAGGAAGGGGAATACAATACATGAGATTCATGTCATAACAATATTTTGCCTGTTTACTACATTTTTTTATTCAGTATACTCTAAACTATTATCCAGTTTACTAATAATATCGAATTAGAGTTGAGTTAGTATACTGAAAGACCTCATAAGTTAAAATTTAGTCTTTATTATTACAACTTGAAAATCTTACCTTTTTGCAGTAGATTTAGTTCTTCAAGATATAAAAAGAGGTCATTTCAGATTTCAATAGCCCCACTAAAACAGCTACCTCCCAGCCTGAGAGTCCTGAAACAGGCTTTTTTCCCTCTGTTGTCAAACCTTCCTAAACACAGTATTCGCAGACTGTGTGGTATGTTTTCCTCCTAGTTTTCAGAATCCCTGAAGTTCTTCCAATACAAAAAAAAAGGCTTATTTTTACCAGTTGGTGGAGGATGTTCCACTTTCAAAGGGAGAGAATTTTTAATTCCCTCCATAGGGCTTCATAGCTATTGTAAACTTCATGGGCAGGCTTTCACCTGCATAGAGGACCAATTCCACATAATGCCAACCATTCTAGGGTAAAATGGATGGGGTGAGGGTGACAGTAACCCTGTACCCATTACTAGCACATAGTTAAAAGGTAATATGAAAATAGACTTTGGGGAAAATTTTATGTTTTATATTTACCTCAAAATAAATGCCTACTTAGACAAAAAATAAAATTCTTTCCACTGCTAAAAGCAAATAAATAAATTTCCCAGAGATTCAAAAATGAAAAGAATATTACCTTTGTCCCTAGGATAGATATATAGATGAATAGATTTCAGAGCATTTTAAAATGCACTGAAAAAGTAAGCAACTAATTAGCAATTAGAAATGTATAGTAACATTAATTACATAAATATAAGTGTACATATATAAGTAATTATAAAAAGCAAGGCACAAACATTATAATATTACTTTCAACCAGTTCAATCTGAAGAAAAGGAAATTTTGAAATGTTTGCTTTGAAAGCTCAGAGAATTATCCACGTGTGAAAAAATCCAAAATTGCTTCAAAGTGTAAAAATTATTCTTCTTTCCACCTACAAGTAAGTCAAAATTGCTGTGCACATTTTCATCAAAATTTCTTAAAAGAAATTATCCAGCAAGGAAAATCTTTGAAGCTATACAATAAAAACTTCAGGGACAAAAGAAAACTATTCTCAGTGCCTTCATCTATAGAGTACAAGCAAAACAAACCACCCTTTACACACAAGCACATGTGTGTGTACGTTTATTAATTGATTCAACAAAATTTTACTGAGAGTCATGTACATTAATTTGTACACAATTGTATGCATATAGGCATGTGTATTTTACATGAGTATAATCATATGTGTGAATATATCTGCAAAAGCAAAGCCAAGAGGAAGGCCTAAGGATAAAGAGCAAATATTCATGTAAAGAAACCCCCAACCACATGAAGGCACCAGAAATTATTCTATATATACAAAAATGTTGTATATAGTGATGTTAGAGATCATAATGAATATTGGAGGTGAGAACAGGATGACCTCAAGGGTATCCTTCTGGAGCATCAGAAATGTCTTTGATGGGCAATGATGGAGAGGCACCTGCTCTTAGGAGAGGACATGGAGGGAAAGGCAGAAAAGATAAACTGTGTCACATCACTGTTTAAGAGCAATGACCAAAATTGGAAATTCTTCTCTAAACTTTTTAATTAAACATTTTAAAGTAAAATTGATTATTTAAAAATACTCCTTAAGTTGTCTGGAAGGCTGCTTAAATTTGTGGTTGTTTTGGTTGTAATTAATAATAGTAATAACCACTGTTTTCACTTCTAAAGTAAGAAAAAGTAGAGGCTGGCCATTAACTTTTCTCCTTAATCTCTGGCAAGCCTATATTTCAATTGCCTTTTATAGCCAGAAATAAGGAACTAAATTAGTAATCCATATATAAGATGCTTCTCAGGTAGGTAGCAACTTACCTAGTAATACTAGGGAAAAGGATGCTCTTACCATTACTGATACACCATCATGTAGTCTCCAGGCCAGTGTGCTTGTTGAAGTTAACAGGTAGCTGCAGCCATCATAAGATTACCATTGGGAAAAATTCAACATGATATAATATTAAACAGTAATTTCTGCAGAGATAAAAACAGGTTAGTCATTATAACAGCCAGACCCTGGATTTCCAAACTAATAGATATCTGGTTTTTAATTCTGCCTTAGAAATATAATGCACACCTATTGGAAGCTTATTATTTCATAAGAGAAGTACATAGGAAAAAACTCCAGGCCCTAGGAATTGAGAAAAAGAAGTTCATTTTTTTGAAGTGGGAAGAATGTCCAGAACCTATTAGAACCTACATTCCCTCCATTGCTCTTCCCAGGAAGATCAACACTCACTTTATCAAGAGAAAATGTCTCACTGTGAAAAAACAGGGCCCATTGTGAAGCTGAAGGAGCCAAGCAGACTTGTCTGCTTAAGACCTAAAGGTCTGCCCAAGAGACAGAGCCCTGAAAAGAAGTGAACCTAGTCAGCACAGAAAGCATCTTGGCAGGAGCCATCTAACTGCAAACACCAATACCTCTATAGCTTCTCCTTTAGAAATAGTGCCAGACCAAGCCAGCTTACCTGGTCATCTTTCATTCCCAACTAGATCTGCCCAGTACCTCATGGCAGGTGATCAAAGAACACTACCATCTCGGTGTGGCCTCCCAGCCCTATACCTGCCAGGCTGCAGCCTGCCCAACGCAGGGTGGCAGGGTCAGAAGGACATTTTAAAAGGGGATGAAAATGACCTTTAATATTTTGAGCAGAATGATAACTTCTTGGCAGGTTATATTGCGATAGCACTTTGGTTACATAATGATCATCTCAATTTCACATTCATTTTAAGAAGTTTTTGCCAGAAAATAGTAATAACAATAATAATAATGGTGAAATACAGGGCTTTATTCCAGAATGTAAATCCTTGACCAATGCTTCCTCTAGAAGGATAAGCTGTGACGCTGCAGATTTCCTGGACCTACACAGTGAGCTGCCTGTTCCCAGTGACACAGAAGCCATGGCCCAGGCAGCTAGTGCATTCTGTAACCCAGCTCAATGAAAACTAAGAGTTTGGCGCCCCCTCTTCCTCACCAGAGGCTCTAATTGTAATGGCCACCCTGCTCCACCTCCACCCACTGGTCCAGCGCCAAGTTGCCTGAAACTTCCCCACACCACACACAACGTGGCTAACAAGAACCTCTGTTCCCAATACATTTGATCATCAAAATAGCACCATGTTTCCCCCAGAGAAATGCAATTTCATCTCCATTTCAAGTAGGTTGATGTGTGGTAATCAGAGGGAGACATAAATTTTGAACTTGAGCTTTATGTTGTGACTAGCATTAATTTAAGTGCCCTGCATCAAAGATCTGAGCTATTCCTCTAAACTGCTTTAAAACCCACCATGACTTTTCGTTGTTTCAGAAACCCACAGTGCAATCTGCAATGCATTATAAATTTTAAGCAAAGAATCTTATCTATATTTTCTTGTGCATTCCAAAACTCCCTAAAATACTGATCAGAGACAGTGCCCACATTCCAAGACTAGTGCCACAAGTTTGCTACAAGTTGAGGGAGGAAAAAAAATTAAAGTAACAGATGTTTGGGTTGCCTACTTCTGCTATTTTCAAAACTTCATCAACAATGCAAAGTTTTAAATTAGAAATGTACTATAGTTCTATTGTTCCCTATGGAAATTTTTAACTAAAACCAGAGTCTAGGAATTCATTTTCAAATAAATATTCCAACTTTGGTTTTAAGAGGAAAAACTATACATATATATATATCCTCTTAGAAGGAATGAAAGTTCCATCTGATGAGAAGCCCCCTCCACTCAGCACCACAGCAGGGAGTAGAATTCAATTGGTGGTAACTGCTCCCCGCTGCTCTTGCAGACTTGGTGGCTCCATGGGGTGTGCTCTCAAGGCTTCTGCTGTCCAAAGGGGAAGCTGTAGGGGATGCTCACGGCCCCACTACAGCTAGAAAATTTTGTGGGTCTGGTCCTGTCAATCCTCGGGATAGCTCCACGTGAGGTATTCTCACTCACTTCAAAGACAGGGCAGCTTCAGAAGCCCTTCCAGAAGGCTTGCCTGCATCAACTCAGCATCCATGCTGCTCATCCCCCTCCTGGTTCTGCATGCCCAGCAAGGAAAGCTATTAGCTCCCTCCTGGCCTCAAAGGAAAGAGGGAGCAGAGTCCATTGTTTGCTCTCAAATCTGCATCCCTGGTGGCTAGTGGTTCACATATTAACTTAATTCAAAAGATTAGCAACACAGGGCTTAAATTATATAGGATTCAGAAAAGTTCTGATCCAGGCTGAGAATGGAGACTGGACCAACAAGTGGAAACTCATAAAGTAGAGCCAGTTTTATTTGAATGTAAATTGATAGAAGGAAGTCAACATCTTTTGTTGGTGGTATTGTTCCTAAAATCCTTTTGTCCTGTATCAATTTCCCCATCTCTTCCACAAAACTACTCCTGACTCAACTAGCCACAGTAATCCCTCCTTTCTCTGAGCTCTTAAAAATACCTGTAGTATCTGCTGCCAACTTAGCACTTTATTATATACTTACCTGTATTAGCCTCTGTATTATATTTTTAATACTGACTCCCCAAATAGATTTTGAGTGTCTCAAGGGCAAACAGAACGTCTTACACTTACTTTCAGGACCTATCACAGGAAGAGTGAGGAAGGGGGACCCAAGAGGACCATTTGGCATAAGCCTCATATTTAAAACAGGCCTCAAATTTAGATTTTTGATGACATCTCCAAATAAGGTTATACCTCAATTTTCATAGACGTACTGGCAAGAGTTTTTAAAAGAAGCATTTCATCCAACAACTTAAAATTCATCAGTTTCTATGATGCTCTTTTGGTATTACTTATTTTAATACTCCAGAAGCCTCAAAAAATAGAAATAATTTAGTTTACCTCAGATTTTCTGTAGTGCCTGGCACTCTGTTACAAAAGATAAATGCAGAAAATGTTCCCTAATGGTCACCAGACATGCTGCAGATGGAGGGAAGAAGTACAGAACTGTTACAGCACTTGACTATAACAAAAGCAGAGTTAGAGACCCAGGGCAACTGAAAAGATTCTACGCAGACTGGCTACAGTGAGCCCCTAAAGCGGTTGTGTGTGTTTTCAGGGCCCTCTCTCCTGTACAGCTACCTTGTCTCCTTCCTGATAACAACATTAGCATCAAAAGAAGGGGTCTGTCCTCTTTGTTTGATAATGAAGCACCTCCTAAGAAGTTGAAGATAAGGCAGCTTTGTAAACCAGTGGAACTTAGAGACAATAGCTGTGCTTCACCAGGTGTGAGAGAAAGCCGAGCAGGAAACTGTCTGTGAGGTGCAGCCAAAAGATTCTAAAAAATCCAGAACTCCAATCAAGGTAGTTTCCAGAAGTGATCTCAGGGAAGCAGGACTAGCATGTGATTCTAATGTAATCCAGAATCCCATACTGTCTTTGGAGAAAGATACTGTGACACAAAGTGTGTGTGAATAGTAAAGGGAAACACAAATTAGCCATGAGTTCATTGTGTGTGTTCCCTTTGTGAAGAGACTCAGGGGTAGTTGGTCATCTTCAGATGACACCTCCAAGACAACCCTGCGTTCAAGGCACCTCTTTCTACCCTATTCTTGACCTCAGCTGATGTGGTAGTTATTAGTACTGTTCACCAAATTTTTCTGGCTCTCCATCTTCTGGAACTTTATAGAATTGCATTCTCCTATTCTTCATCGCAATTAGGGATAGCCTTGGCTTGTTTTAGCCAATGAAATGTGAGTGACTTAAGAGCCAGAGAATGAGCCACTGCGTCTCCATTGTCCTACCTTGCTCATCACAGATCATGACGAAAACAGAGACAGAGACTTGCTCTGCAAAGGTCCTGAGTGAAAGAAGCCAAGCTCTCCAAATGACCAGTGGGGGCGATTTAATATGAAGAAGAAACAAGCCTTTGTTATTTTAAGCCACTGAACTCTTGGAATTATTTCTTAACACAGTTTAACCCACCCTATTCTGATTGATAAAATCAGCGATTACCTCACCATGCTTAATCCCCTGATCCTCAAACTGAAGTGCCTTCAGGGTTATGCTGTTCTATGCCAGGGGATTAGAGAAGCCACAGGATAGGGGAGGCACATGTTACCAGAGCATCCACCGGACTCACTGTTAATTTAAAATGTTATTTTTATATTCAAACATACACAAATGAGTACAAAATTTTATTAGTTTTTAAGATGAAAGAGGAGATTTCAAAGAATTTCAGAAGCACAGATTTAGTGGATAAAATAAGGCATTCCAGTAGAGAAGGGGCCTCTGAGAGAAGCAGCCTCAGTGAAGAGAAGAGAAACTGAGGCACAGAGAATCTATGTGACTCATCCAAGGTCACACAGCTAGGGAATGCAGCCCAGGTTGGCTGATCCAAGGCCAGAGCTCTTTTGGCCACACACACCTAAGCATGTGCAGTAATGATTCTTCTGGTATTCTCAACAACATAAGGGAGACAGCCATCCTCATGTGAGAACCAGCCATTGCCTCTTCACTGTTGACTAAGGATGCCGGCAATGAGGTAGCTGACCTTGCTACCAAATCATCACTGTTCACAGACAGAGATGCAACAAATATTCTGCCTTCCTTTCTTTCCCAACTTCTCACCATAGAAAGATAAAAAATAGATAAAGTTTGCCTTTCCCCCCAAATTTTCCAGCTTTCAATCTTTATAATCTAATAAATTATCTCCATGTTGGGGGTCATTAAATATAATGAGCTATTGGAGAAAAAAGTGTGTGTGTGTGTGTGTGTGTGTGTGTGTGTGTGTGTGTGTGCCTCCAAGAAGGTTCCCCAGTGATGAACAATGCCTTAATAGCTATCTTTGGAACAAGGCAGGGTTTGAATAAATAACCTTCTGCAGTCAGTTTAGTGCCAGATCATTCTTAAAAGCAATATCTTAGGTAAAGTTTGGAAGTAACATTTATGTTTTCTTTTTTTAATTGAAACTTAGCTTTTTCAGTCTCTTTTGGAATTTTATGAACCTAAATTTTCAAGTGGGAGAATTCAAAGCAGATGAAAAGCAACCAGATTTTTTAAAAAAGAAAAGGACTTAAAAATCATAACCCACCCTCACTCACAGTCTTTCAGAGCTAATTATATATAGTTAAGATAATCTGAAACTCTAGAAGCACCCTTGCCAACATTCTTTGTATCTATAAAATCAGCCTATGATAATTTAAGATCAATAGTTTGTAAAAGTCAATAGTCGAGTCCTACCTCTTGTAAGTGTGGCCAGTTTCTGATGCAGACATTGCCAATTGCTCAGCATTGTGAGATGCTCTGAGCCATGTAAGTCCATGCCATTCAATGTCCACAAGCATTAACTCAGGTTTCTTAGTAACTCATTTTTTATGCACATCACTCACAAAGAAGAGCTACTTTTATTTTTGCACAAGTCCTTGCTCACTTTCAGAGGACATAGCTCTCACAAATACACTTTGGTTTCCTTGCTCTCTCAGTAAACAGATTTTTTTCCTGCAATGCTCTTTTGGTGAAACTTGTTTTGAGAACAGTGAGTACCACCCTACATCAGATTTTGTCGGTTATGCTGTTATTGCAGATACAGAAGAAAAGTTTGTTTGAAATTTCCAAAAGCTCTCAAAATAAATGCCCCAGGATGGTCCCCATTCTACCTGTCCAAATTTGTCCCCCATCCTCTCCCTAAAGTCCTCCATCCCCGTCAAGTACACCCCCCAGCAACATTCCAAGCTGGCTCTATCTCTGAGGTTTTGCTCACACTATTTAAACACACGTGCACCCAGTGTCTGTGATGCACAAATTCTTCTGTCTGTCAATGTAAATCCTGTCCAACCTTCAAAGCCTAACCCAAGTCCCAAAGACTCCTGGAACACTTCCCATATCAAATTTACCCTCAACAATAACCCACTTCTGTGAATTCTGACAGCAATTGCTGTGCTTGCCATGTATTCTGATGTTTAGCCCTATTCCATTTTACATCATCCTGCAATTGCTTCATTGTGTATTTCTTAGATCTTTCATTTGATCAAAATGTCATACCATGGAGGGTATATGTATAAACCAAAGAATGAAATTCTTCAGGAGAGACCCACATGGTAACTAAGATCTTTGTATCTTTCCCAATTCTTAGATCATCAACTTTCAGAAGTTTTCCAGGTCTAATCTACAATGAGCATAGAAGGTACAGAGAGCTTCATCTCCACCCATCTACCACAAGAGTCACCCCTCAAATTGTGTGCCTCTTGGAGTCATACTCAAATGAAGGCCAAAACTGAGATAACCACAATTAGCCACTCTAGCAAACAGACTGCTTCACCAGCAAGGCTGAAACATCAACCAGGGCCAGGTGGTGGGAATTGTACAAAGAATCAGACAGAAGTAATGTGTCATGCATAACCAGAGGAATGTCAGCTACAGACCTTGCCCTCAGCCCCACAGGTATAAGCTATCCTCCAGGTAAATAGCCTGCATCACAAAGATGCCATGGAGCACAGGCATCCTAGACACACCCAGGGAATGAGACCTTGAAAAGCCAAGTGCCTATAGCATATAAGCAAATGTCTTATCATAAATAAAGTAAAGATAAAAACAGGAGATTTCTGTTACCTTTGGAGATAATATATAGTCCTATACACACTTAAATGTTTTAGCAGAGTGGCATGTTTAGTAAAGTGTGAAATTTTCAGTGTTTTTTCTGCATTAGTCAACAATATTATTCAGATGGTAAATAAGTTCACTTTTCCTGGCATTAATAGAGGTAGATTGCCGCATACACACACACACACACACAAACACACACACACACACACACAGTCTTCCTTAGACTTTATCCTTTTGGTTAACAATACCATTCAAATGTGCAATTCAGCTGCTCATCCCTATAGAGGCAAAATGTTATTTAAAAAGTTGCCTTCAGTTTGTGCCTATTGCTCTAGGGCAGCAGTTCTCAACTAAGGGTGAATCTGCCCCCAGGGGACATTTGCCAAGGTCTGAAGACATTTGGGGCTGACTTGACTGGGATAGTAGTATTGGCATGCTGGTAAACATCCTACAATAAACAGGACAATCTCCTACAACAAAGAATTTACTAGGTCCAAAATGTTAGTAGTGTCAAATTTGAGAAACTCTGTCCCAGAAGTAAAAGCAATACAACATTTCAAGGCAAGAATGCTTGGCCAGGTGCAGTGGCTCACACCTGTAATCAGAGTTTTTGGAGGCCAAGGCAGGAGGATCACTTGAGCCCAAGAGTTTGAGTTCAGCCAGGGCAAGATAGTGAAACCCTTGTCTCTACAAAAAAATAAAAATAATTAGTCAGGTGTGGTGGTACACACCTTGTGGAGGCTGAGGTGGGAGAATTGCTTAATCCTATGAGGTCAAGGCTACAGTGAGCCGAGATCATGCCACTGCACTTCAACCTGGACAACAGAGAGAGACCCTGTCCAAAAAAAAAATGCCAGATTGCTTCTTGTTTGAGGGAAATCACTTTAATAATCCTTTGACTTATGCAAAAGAAAAGTCAAGATCTTATTTTGAAATAGGTAATTTCAGACTCTAAGCCCTACTGATGGCTTTGTGAACAGCGTCTCTGCAGAGACTGGTATGATATTAACTTCCTATTAAATTCTTAAATTCGTTGAGTGAGAAAGGAAGAAAGAGTCAAGAAGTGTCCCAGATTTCCAGGAAGGACTGATTTGAGGGAATTCTCTTCTAAAGAGGGAGATAAAATAACGCTCAGCAATGTCACAGTAGGCAAGAGGCTAAATAAAGCCAGTCAAAATGGTGCTCCCCATGTTGAGCATGGCAGATGGCATCTGGAATTGGTGGGATTTCATCCAGCTGTAAGTTTTCCCTTTTCACACTGTTATTCTCTAACACCCGCAAGCCTTCAAAGAAAGTTTTATAAAGCACCACGGCCTAGTGTTCACTGTGTCTGAGGAAATAAGAATTACCTAGTCAAGGATGTCTTTAGAGGAAGTAGGTAAAAGTGTGAAGGAAGCCAGGGCAGACTGGGAGAGCAGTGAGATACCACAACCTGAGAGTGGCATAGGGGGAAATAAGGTGGGGCAGAAGCTTCCTAGAGCACCCAACAGCATATGGGAGGTTCTGCAAAGCAGCAGGGAAGTTATTGAGTCAAGTTGGCTGTCAGAAGAATCTGGCATCTCCCAGGAATGAAATGCTTTAGTATCCTTGCATGGTCTAGTCACTGGTTGAGCCCTTAATTGGCAAAGCCCTTAGGAAGAGTGGCCTCAAAGTAAACGGAGCCATAGATTCAGAGTGCAACAGCCAAGGTCAGTTACAGTCCTTATACTGGGAGGTCAGCAAGGTGCATTCTCATGGCCACATCATGAATAAAACTATAACTAGCTATTTGCGTGATAAGAGGAAGTGTTTCCTGGAACTTCCATGTCTCAACCCCACCATCTGTTCATATGCCCTCTTTTCTACAGGAGTAGCAACAGATACTTTAATTGCTGATTAATCTCTCAAAAGTAAATAGCTGCCAACCGAGTGTAAGAATAAAGAAAATGAGAAGTCAATTGTTCTAGGATCACCAGAGAAGCAGAAAACTCTCAGACTTTAGAGAGTGCCCAAATTAAGAAACTCTTCACCCACCTTTTAGCTTCACTTGAAACTGGCCCAGGATATGCCATTCAGGGCCCCACTGCAGGGCACCTTGGCGTGTTGCCAGCCCTCTGTCATACAATGACTGCCAGCTCCTTCCAGACTTTGAAATGCTCTATGAGAGAACCATCATTACCTACCATAGAACTTCTAAGGGAAAATTGAGTTGAATAAATTATTAGCAATTTCATAATAAACTTCAAATCATCCTCCATACATTTTCTTCTAACTGCCAGAGTAATTCATATATTAAACATTTAGATAGTACCATCATTCCTTGTCAACTTTCCCTTGTGAGAGATTGTTAAGAGTAGAGCATTATGTTCCAGGAGAGTTTGAGTTCAGAAAGGCCTCAAGGCAGACTGTGAGCTAGAAGCCTTCTCAAAGGCCTGCCAGCTCTGTGATTTTATGATTTCTGATGAAAAACGATAGCACATTGAGAAACTGTCCCTGAAACAGAAAGGAAAGTCAGTGGAGAAGCCAGCCTTAGGGAATGCCTCACTTCCTAGACTATCTCCTAAAATATAGACTATATATTAGAACCATAGATACTCATATTGTCCCTTTATTTCTGAGCTTCTTTTGGAATAAGTGGTTATTAGAAGACAGTATTTGTTTGCATTTGTAAGCATTCCAAAAACAGCATGCAGAAGGACAAGTGAGCCTTAAAAGAGCATCATGAGATTTTTGGTTTTGGTCCTGGACAGAATGTCAAGCATGACCTGCAGTTATTTTTCCAATAACAGTGTGAACCAAAGTCCATTTCTCCATTTTGTCTTACACACCCACTTGCCAGATCTAAACAGAATAAATATTGATACAGTGACTTCAGACAAAGTTAAAGTCAAGTTGGCCTAAAGCACCAGGAACATCAGAAATGTCCCTTAGTGTGTTCTTCATTCAAGTCCTTAGAATTTTTGGTTGCTCTGACAATAAAATTACTGCACACATTGTTTTCATCTTCTATTTGTAGAATACTAGAACACAAAAATGTTATTAACTTCACAAAGTGTGTATACACACACACACACTCATACATGCACACAAAAAATGCTCAGCTTGTCAACAGCTTTAGTGAAGTAAAATACAATTGATAATTAGAAACATGTGTCCCCAGCAAAGAGGCACAGAAACTAAAAGGTCATCTTTTTCCAAATGACCTAATTAGAAGAGCCTGGAGTGCTGGCTACAGTATAATGGTTTTGCACAGCTTTTAACTCAGACTTCCTGTTTTAAAACAGTGCAATTTACTGCTCCTGCAGCAAATATGAATGGTCACTTAATGCCAACAGAATTAGGCCTTACAACACCACCTGCCTCCAGCAATCTCATTGTTAGACCCATCAGCTGAGGATTGCTGATTTACCATCCCAGAATGACGATTTAGAACCTAGTGCCAGGATTGCTGCCAAGTTGAGAACAAGGATTTCATGTAGAAGAGAGCCCACTTGGTACTTTATATTAATGCCAATTGAAATATGCATGAATAGACCAGAGGCAAAGCGGTTGTTCAGAATCAGACTATCAGTGAATGCTTCTTAGGTTCTTTTTTTTTTCTTTTTGGTCCTAGAGCTAGGATTTTGATGCTGAATAATTTTAATTGACCAGAGACAACAGACACAAACTGGCTGAAAATGCTGCATGGTAGAAACTTAAACAGACACCCAAATAGAATTGTCATTTTAAATAGACACCTCTGTAAATCTGTACTTAATCTCTCTCATATGTATTCAGTATTTCGTGATGTTTCAGCAAGTATTCATCTTGCTTGTCTTTTTCTTTGCCTCAGTTCTCTCATCTGAAATACCTAACTAATGCTTTGGAGCAGCAATGTTAATTGAGGACTGTGAAGAATAAAAATTCGGTAACAGCAATGGATGCTCAGCTACAGACTACATTTCTCAGCCTCTCTTGTAGCTAGGTGTACTCATATGACGAAGTTTGGTCTCACAGGATGTGAGTGGAAAGGATGTGTACAACTTCCAATGCACCTTTATGCAGATGGTTTGCCTTGAATTTTCTCTGTCCCCCTGTTGATGGCTAAGAAGTGATGATAATTTTAGCAACCTTGGGTAAACAACCTTGGGTGATAAAGCTTTCCTGACAGCCTTGGATCATTCATCTATATACTCTTCCATGAGAGAAATAAACTTCAATCACTGTTAACACACTGTGGATGAGGGCTACTTTGTTAAGCTGTACCTCAACTAATAAAAGCAAAGGGAGCATCAATAAGTTGCATCTACTCTTGTGCCCAGAATTTTGTGTATATCTTTTGCATCGTTCAGTTCATTAGTAAACCAAACTGAAAGTAACTTTAACTTTGGCTAATCCTTATTTTTGCCAATTCTTGAACTAAACTTGTCTTTAATATCAAACTTAGTTCATGGGCTCTGTTCTGCAAAATAAGGAAGATGAGGCTGTTGAAGTTGCAAAATCCAGTGGTTTAAGGTTCTGAACTTTACTATGACTGGAAGTAGACCAATCTGAAATATGTTTCTGGCATTGTATCCAAAGAAGTACATCTGTAAATGCTGTTTCTATAATTTCCCAGATAGAAAAGTTTTGATACATGTATTTTCCTTATATAATAGTTTCTTTGCAATATTTTAAATTCCTATCTGTCCACTGGCTTCTTCCTTTGGACCCTTAGTCACTCAAAGGTCTATTTGAATTTATAATATCTCTTAACTGGATTCTTCTGTTCCTCTGATAAGATTTGTTTTATGCATCACTTTCCCTACCCAAATTTCTCAGTGTGGTCTAGGACAACTGTTTCTATGCCTATATTCTCATTCTCTCCTTAAATCCCTAAACCTGTGTCTGCTTCATCCCAATCTACTACAATTTCACTTAAAAGATAATCACTCTATTTTCCCATTTCTTATGTTCCTAGACTATTTACACACTCAGCAAACATTTATTGAGCCTCATCCATGTGTCATGAAATAGGCAGATTAGAATACAAAGCACAGTGCTTGAAGATCTTCACAGTTTTATAACATTGGACCGTTTTAAAGAATCTCCTTGAACTTCTTATGATTTCCATGGAAACACACCATTCTTCTTCTCATCCTACTGTTCTGATTATTTCATTCTTTTTCTGGGCTGATCCGCTTTCAATACCCCTTAATAGAGGTTTCCTCCAATGCTCAGTACCAGGTCCTCTGCTCTGCCTTTGTACTCTCTCCTTTTGAAATAGCATCAGTTGTTCCAGCTTCACTGACTGTCTTTTGTAAGTGATTTTCATTTGTCTCTGGGCATAAACTTCCACCCAAGCTTCAGTTTCATTGTCCCAATTACACTTTATTGCCTCAACCCATGAAATCCCAACATGTTTAAAACTAAACAAATTTCTTTACCTTACATATACTCCCATTCCTATGCCTCATCTAATATATTCCTCTGACATATTCTCCTACATACATGTACATCAACTTTCTTGTCTTGCTCTCTCTTTCTGGGTTAACCAAGCCTGCCTGGACAATAGTAAAAACAGAAGTTCCAATCCAAGCAATCTATTTCCTTGTCTGCTTTAATTCAGGCCAACTCACTCATAGTAGCAGGCAAACAGGCATTTACCTTCCCTCAGAGCATGGTGTCTTTTATGCAGTGCCAAATAAGTGGGGGAACAAATGAAGAAATGTCAATAAGCAATTACATATGTACTAACAACGTTAACCTGACAAGTATTTGAGGAAGAAGTAATATGCTTAGTCTCCAAAGAGTTCTCAAATATTCAGGCTTGGATAAAAATATTTATAACAGAAAAGCAACAACAAAAATCCCTCTAATTTTTGTTCTCTCATTTTCTACACTCATGATGTTGAACAGACTTTCCTCAGGATGGCCCTATAGCACCGTCTACCCCAGAACCAAATCAGAGAAGTACTCCTGGTTCCTTCCATTTCCACTGTACTTTAAAATGGGAAGCTACGTTTCCTTTCCTTTCCTTAGCTATGGTTGATATTAAACCTACCCGTCTATTATCCTCTTATTTTTGGTTCTACTTTTTTGGCAGAGACCTATTTTTCTTGGATTATTTTTTACACATGTTTACATGTTTCAGAAAAAAAAACTATGAGATTTACTTTTGTCTTATTCTGTATTTCATCTCATATATGCATTCTTTTTCTTGTTTGCTTTATCATTCAATCATTCATGGTTCTTAAATGTAAACAGACATAAAAAAAATGCTTAAAGAATGAATGTATACTGAGTCTTCAGGATGACCTAAGAGTCAGGTTTGGTGGCTACTTGGTCAAGACTAATGCCCAAACCACTCTCGGAGACTGTCCAGCAAAAACCACAGCCACACTGCCCAGGGCACTCAGCACAGGACATCAGAAATTGTTCTACTGCTGCCCCAGAAGGGCAGGGTCTCAGCCACCACCTTCACCAGAAATGAGTTAATCATTGTGCCTACTTTTTCCCATTGCTTACTTCTGAACTGAAGTCTCACTGAGGGCCATCTGATTGGTAATAGCTCAGTCATGACTCTGTCATACCTATGAGGAAGGCTGGGAAAATGAATTACTATCCTCAGCCCTGGAGACTAAGAAGGTAAGAAATATCCTCAAACTAGAAAGGGTATCCAAGGATTCTATACAAATAAAAAGGTCTGACAAATATCCACTACATTAACTCACTGGCTTTCCTTTCCCACTTCTCTATCTCTGCCAATGTTGCCATCATTTTACCAAATAGCAAGGCTTCTATCAGTCATGTGTTATCTTTTTTCTCCTTCATTTCCTGAATACAATCAATCAACAATTACTTTCAAGAAATCCACTACTTATCCAGTATAATTACTCATGCTGGAGAAATTCAAACAAAGTATAAGCCATGATTAGACTGAAAATCTTAGAAATAACATAGAGAAAATAGTTAAAGAATTATAAGTAGTATAATGAGAAGATTGATTTTAATACAATAAAGATTTTGAGGAGAGCTCTATCAGAGTGGATAAAGAAGTTAAGAAAGGAAAGTTTTATAGAGAAATTCAGTATTAAATTAAGCTTTAAGTTTGAGCTACAGATGAGGAATATACAGAAGAATGTACTTGTGCTTTTTCCAAAACCTCACTAAAATAAAAGTAAAGAGATGAAAAGCTATGAACCTATAACAAGTGCTACTTAGTCGAGAACAATGTCCAAATTACACTGACAGAATGTCCCACAAAGATTCCACCTACACTGCCCAAGGCGCCCAGAATAGAATCTGGAGAGGGGCCATTGGCAGACAAAAAATTTTAACAAAATTGTTGAAAATCTTAAAATAGAGGAATGATAACTATGTAGATGAAACCACAGATTAGAAAGTTTTCAAGGAGAATGCATCTAATAAAGAGGTCGGTTAGCCCTCGAAACTCTGGACTTACCTGCCATGTGCTAGAGAAAACTCTAGAAACCAGGTATCTGTCCTTGGAAAGAGAATGAATGCTCTTCCTTTATAGGAACCTGAATGAGCCTAGAGAAAGACCACATTCTGATCCATAGGGCTTTTCTAGCATGAGTGTCAGCTCTTCACATAATAACTGTAAGACAATACCTTCCAGTCCATGAGCCACATCCAAAAACATAGATTTCCCATTTAACTTTTTGAGGTCTTATTTTTAAGTATAGACAAGATTATCAGACTTGAGGAAAACATTCAAGATGCAAGAAAAAGACAAAAAGAATAATAAGAATCAAAAAGAATATACAACCCCAAAGACAATTAAAACTGTAAACATTTTTTAAAATTCTTTAACAATTATATTGCATCTATTACACAGAAGCATGGTGCTATGAAAAAAAAAGAAGTGATAATAAGAAAGGCCTCTGGCAAATTAAAAAATATAAGTGAAATTAAAAAGAGTTAAAAGATAAAATATATGAATCTCCCAAAAGATTAAACAAAAAGAGAGAAAAAAAATATGAGATGGAAAGTCTGACAGAAATTTTATAAAATATAACACTGTGGTACTGGAGGTTCACCATCTGACAAAAGAAAGAACAGAACAAATGGAAAGAAAGAAGTTGTTTAAAAAAAAGTACAAATAAAATTTCCAAAGTTTTTGAGATTGGTCTCTAGCTCCCAACACCCCACTAAAAGAATAGAATTATTATTGAATGAATGAAAATCATCATACCATGGCATGTTCTAGTGATATTTCAGAATGTCATAAAAAAGAAGAGACGCTAAAATTTCCCTCCATGAAGCAATATCCAGTACTCTTACACAGAAATTTGAATTCAGAATGCTGCTTCTCAACAACATAGAATATTAAAGAGTGAAAATTGAAGCAATGCCTCAAATTTCTGAGGGAAAACACTTTTCAATGTTTATATCTTTAGAATTTAACTAAACTATAAATAATATGTTTAAATATAAAGACATACTCAGACAGGTAAGAACTCGTACAATTTTCCTCACACACACCTTTTCTTAGGAAGTTATCTGGGAATGTGATCCAGCAAAAGATGCGAGTAAGCCAAAAATAAGCCAAAAAATTACACCAAAAAAGAAACAGTTGACTCAACCAAGGAGATATTTCTTATTCTAAGCTTACTACATTATAGCAAGCTTGTTAATCACTCTCCCACATAGGAACAAAAAGATGAAAAATAAGTAATGAGGACACCAGGAGAAAACATTTCAAAAACTTTTTTTTAAATGCCTGATATGGTAAAGGGTTTGAAAAATAAGTGGAGAGTTACTAGAAGGAAGCTATGAAAGTTATTTGAAACCAATGAAAAAAAAGAGACAATGTACCAGAGTATCTGGGACATAGCTAAAGCAGTGTTATGAGGGAAATTTATAGCACTAAATGCCCACATTGGAAAGCTAGAGAGATCTCAAATTGACACCCTAATATCACAATTAAAAGTGCTAGAGAGGGAAGAGAAAACTAATCAAAAAGATAGCAGAACAAGAAATAGTTACTAAGATCAGAGAAGTATTGAAGGAGATAGAGACAGGAAAAACCCTCCAAAAAAAAAAAAAAAAAAAAAAAACAAAAACAAAAACAAAAATGAATCCAGCAGCTGGTTTTTTGAAAAATTTAGCAAAATAGACCTCTAGCTAGACTAATGAAGAAAAGAGACAAGAATCAAATAGACGCAATAGAAAATGATAAAGGGAATATTATCACTGACCCCACAGAAATGCCAACTACCTTCAGAGAATACTATAAACATTTCTATGCAAATAAACTAGAAAATCTAGAAGAAATTGATAAATTCCAAGACATATACACCCTACTAAGACTAAACCAGAAAGAAGTTGAATCCCTGAATAGACCCATAACAAGTTCTGAAATTGAGTCAGTAGTTAATAGCCTACCAACCAAAAAAAGTCCAGGACTAGAAGGATTCACAGCCAAATTCTATCAGAGGTTCAAAGAGGAGCTGGTACCATTCCTTCTGGAACTATTCCAAACAATTGAAAAAGAAGGACTCCTCCTAACTCATTTTATGAGGCCAGCATCATCCTGATACCAAAACGAGGAAGAGACACAACATAAAAGAAAACTCCAGGCCAATATCCCTGATGAACATTGATGAGAAAATCCTCAACAAAACCAAATCCAGTAGCACATCAAAAAACTTATCCACCACCATGGCTGGATGCAGTGGCTCACGCCTGTAATCCCAGCACTTTGGGAGGCCGAGGTGGGCGGATCATGAGGTCAGGAGATCGAGACCAGCCTGGCCAACATGGTGAAACCCCGTCTCTACTAAAAATACAAAAAATTAGCCGGGCATGGTGGCGGGCACCTGTAATCCCAGCTACTTGGGAGGCTGAGGCAGAAGAATGGCATGAACCCAGGAGGCGGAGATTGCAGTGAGCTGAGATCGTGCCACTGCACTCCAGACTAGGCGACAAAATGAGACTCCATCTCCCCTCCCCACCAAAAAAAAAAAAACTTACCCACCACGAACAAGTTGGCTTCATCCCTGGGATGCAAGGCTGGTTCAATATATACAAATCAATACACATAATCCATCACATAAACAGAACCAAAGACAAAAACCACATGATTATCTCAATAGATGCTAAAATGTCTTTGATTAAATTCAACATCCCTTCATGTAAAAAACTCTCAATAAACTAGGTATTGATGGAGCATGTCTTAAAATAACAAGAGCTATTTATGACAAACCCACAGCCAATATCATATTGAATGGGCAAAAGCTGGAAGCATTCCCTTGGAAAACCAGTACAAGACAAGGATGCCCTCTCTCATCACTCCTATTCAACATAGCATTGGAAGTTCTGGCCAGGGTAATCAGGCAAGTGAAGGAAATAAACGGTATTCAAATAGGAAGAAAGGAAGTCAAATTGTCTCTATTTGCAGACAATATGATTTTATTTGGAGAAACCCCATCGTCTCAGCCCCAAAACTCCTTAAGCTGATAAGCAACTTCAGCAAAGTCTCAGGATACAAAATCAATGTGCAAAAATCACAAGCATTCTTTTTTACCAACAATAGACAAGGAGAGAGCCAAATCATGAATGAGTTCCCATTCACAATCACTATAAAGAGAATGAAATAGTTGGGAGTACAGCTAACAAGGGACGTGAAGGATCTCTTCAAGGAGAACTACAAATCACTGCTCAGGAAATAAGAGACAATGCAAACAAATGGAAAAACATTTTATCCTCATGGATAGGAAGAATCAATATCATGAAAATGGCCATACTGCCCAAGGTAATTTACAGATTCAATGCTATTCCCATCAAACTACCATTGACATTCTTCACAGAATTAGAAAAAACTATTTTAAATTTCATACAGATTCAAAGAAGACCCTGTATAACCAAGACAGCCCTAAGCAAAAAGAACAAAGCTGGAGGCATCATGCTACCTTACTTCAAACTATACTACAAGGCTATAGTAACCAAAAGAGCATGGTACTGGTACCAAAACAGACATATAGACCAATGGAGCAGAACAAAGACCTCAGAAATAACACCACACATCTACAACCATCTGATCTTCAACAAACCTGACAAAAACAAGCAATGGGGATGGGATCTCCTATTCAGTGAATGGTGCTGCAAAAACTGGCTAGCCATATGCAGAAAACAGAAACTGGACCCCTTCTTTACATCTTAGGCAAAAATTAATTCAAGATGGATTAAAGACTTAAATGTAAAACCCAAAACCATAAAAACCCTAGGAGAAAACCTAGGCAATACCATTCAGGACATAGGCATGGGCAAGTACTTTGTAACAAAAATGCCAAAAGCAATTGCAACAAAAGCCAAAATTGACAAATTAGATCTAATTAAACTAAAGAGCTTCTGCACAGCAAAAGAAACTATCACCACAGTGAACACGCAACCTCCAAAATGGGAAAAGATTTTTGCAATCTACCCATCTGACAAAGGTCTAAGAATTTACAAGGAACTTAAATTTATAAGAAAAAACAACCCCATCAAAAAGTGGGCAAAGGATATGAACACACACTTCTTAAAAGAAGACATTTATGTGGCCAAAAAACACATGAAAAAAGCTCAGCATCACTGACCATCAGAGAAATGCAAATCCAAACCACAATGAGATACCATCTCATGCCAGTCAGGATGGCGATTATTAAAATGTCAAGAAAATTTTCTTCCATTTTGTAGGTTGCCTGTTCACTCTGATGGTAGTTTCTTTTGCTGTGCAGAAGCTCTTTAGTTTAATTGGATCCCATTTGTCAATTTTGTCTTTTGTTGCCATTGCTTTTGGTGTTTTGGACATGAAGTCCTTGCCCATGCCTATGTCCTGAATGATAATGCCTACAATGATAGACTGGATTAAGAAAATGTGGCACATATACACCATGGAATACTATGCAGGCATAAAAAGTGATCAGTTCATGTCCTTTGTAGGGACATGGATGAAATTGGAAATCATCATTCTCAGTAAACTATGGCAAGAACAAAAAACCAAACACCGCATATTCTCACTCATAGGTGGGAATTGAACAATGAGATCACATGGACACAGGAAGGGGAATATCACACTCTGGGGACTGTGGTGGGGTGGGGGGAGGGGAGAGGGATAGCATTGGGAGATATACCTAATGCTAGATGACGAGTTAGTGGGTGCAGCGCACCAGCATGGCACAAGTATACATATGTAACTAACCTGCACAATGTGCACATGTACCCTAAAACTTAAAGTATAATAATAAAAAAAAAAGTCAAGAAACAATAGATGCTGGCAAGGATGTAGAGAAATAGGAACACTTTTACACCGTTGGTGGGAATGTAAATTAGTTCAACCATTGTGGAAGATAGTATGGTGATTCCCAAGGATCTAGAACAAGAAACACCATTTGACCTAGCAATCCCATTACTGGGTATATACCCAAAGGAATAGAAATATTTCTACTATAAAGACACATGCACACATATGTTTATTGCAGCACTATTTACAATAGCAAAGACATGGAACCAACCCAAATGTCCATCAATGATAGACTGGATAAAGAAAATGTGGTACATACACACCACGGAATACTATGCAGCCATAAAAAGGAATGAGATCATGTCCTTTGCAGAGACATGGGTGAAGCTGGAAGCCATCATCTTCAGCAAACTAATAAAGGAACAGAAAACCAAACACTGCATAAGTGGGAGTTGCACAATGAGAATACATGGACACAGAGAGGGAAACAACACACACCAGGGCCTCTTGGGGGGTGTGGGGGGTGAAGGGAAGGAACTTAGGGGACAGGTCAATAGGTGCAGCAAACCACCATGGCACACATATACCTATGTAACAAACCTGCACGTTCTGCACACGTATCCCATTTTTTTTAGAAGAAATAAAAATTTAGAAGAAAATGCCTAATATGGTAAAGGGTTTGAATAACAAGTGGAAAGTTACTAGAAGGAAGCTATGGCAAGAAGAGAAACATTTGAAACTTCTGTAAAAAAAAAAATCTGTAGAAGACAATAAAATGAGAATGGTACCTTACTTAGATCTAGAAAGAGCAATATTCATGTAGTCATAATAAAAATGGATTTGATTAAATATAGTACTATTACATAGAGATGATAGGAGAAATGGGGAGTGTAAGAGGCCTGTATCCTTATCTTCAGGGCAGTAAGTAAATCATTTCTAAAATTGATCCATCAAAAAATAGCAGCATAGTTGAATGGCTTTTAAGGGTTAAAGAGTCTTTCCTCTGAGCAGTAGGCCTGCGGAGAAGGGACCACAGGAGAGTTTGGTTTTCTTTTCAGCTTTTCTGTACTATTACTTTTTTTTTAACATGTGAATATTAACTTTGTATTTTAAGCCTTTTTAAAATAGAGAACTTAGCAGGGTGAATAGGATTTGGCAACCCTGAGAGGGTGAGAGTACACATCAAAAGAATCAAGAAGAACTAACATAGCAAAAGCACCATATCAGACTTATGTCTGGTGAAAAGCCAGGCCTGATCAGAGCATCAGTGTCACAGCAAAACACGGACGAAAGGAAGGGTGGGGCCAGGCCACTGAGGCCAGCAGTGGGTTGGAAGCCTTTGTAGATGCCTGAGTAACACCTTGATGAGAGCAGTGTTTTAGGAAGGTCTGAAGGGCTGGACTGTGCAAGTTGCCACAGAGGGAGAGATGCAACTTTCAGTATCTCCCCTACTCCAATACATCTGGTCTAGTACGTCCACCAAATTCATTTTTCTCCCAGAGTCATAAAGCACAACCATCATTCATTCCTCTCACTTCTGAACTGGAATTACAATAAATTAGCCAAATTAGTATTCAGGGCTCTCCGTGATCAAGATCAGCATGGTGGCTGCCAACACCAGCTGATTTCTGGGCAACAAATCAAACCAGTCTCTAGGCAATCATTATCAAACTGTGGTCCTCAGACTAGCAGCATCTAAGTTACCTGAGTGGTAACTTGTCAAATAATAAATTCTTGGGCCCATCCCATAATGTTGAATCAAGCCGGGCCTTCCAGATGATTCTGATGCTTCATAAAGCCTGAGAACCATTACTGTAAAGGCAACTAATTATATGACCTAGAGCAAATTATTTAGCTTCTCTAAGCTTTGGATTTCTCATCTGAAAAACAGAGACAATACTGTCTACCTCACAGGCTTATGGAAGAGATAAATTTGAATCCATTTGGTGCATACAAGCTCAGTAAATTATTTTAAAATATCATAGTTTTAGTTTTTTAAAAAATATTTTATATTCTATGGTCCAGACAAGCCATTCTACTCAGCATTCCATACACCGGTGTCTGCATTGTATTAACTGTCTGTGAAATGGTTCTTCCCTCAAGAAAGAAACGATCTAAGGCAGAACCACACATACTCACACACTAATAAAACTTAATAAATGTTGGAACTGACATTTTAAATAGTGTTTATCATGATGAAAAGGAAAGTTCAAATTAAGTCATCCTAAAAAGGCTCAAAGAAAAGCTTAGCAGAAAAGGAATTTAAAGAGTGGTAAGATATCAGCAGCTGGACAGGTGGAGAAAGAGTAACACAGTCATGACAGTGCAAGCCAAGTTTAATATAATCCTTTTAGGTGCAACAGCTACATTTCTCATTCATCACTAGGCAAATCCTGCTATGGGAGGCGCTTCCCTCTCTTACTATTTTCTCCACATCTGACCTTAAGCTACACTTTACCTCTTCATGAGCAACATAAACAGTCTTTTTCAGGATGATAATTGGATTCATCATATGGAGTGTTTGGGGGATCACGCCTTGACCTTCAGATGGCCATTTTAGCACTCTGGCCTCAAGTTTTCCTTCTCTGTGTTCTCTCCACTTTTTACCTGGCTCCTTTCCTAGGTCCCCTAGCCTGCCCTCACCCACATAAATTCTGAGTCTCCGAAATCAATCACTTTCTGTACTAAGAATGATCTTCTCATGTCTTTCTCAAAAATCACTTTACTTTTGGTCAAAATTCAAATGATAGCTATCTCCTTTTTGGAATCCTCAGCTATTCACAACCAGAAATAGAGCCTCTGTAAGTAATCTCAGAGCATTTCTGATTTTCTATTATAGTCTTTAACATGGGTGTGCTTTAATACACCTATCCATATACCTCCTACTATATTTATGAAACTTTAAAGGGCAGAGACCAGATTTTTGTTCATCCTTTCATGTCCCTTTATGATACCTTACACATAAATGTTCAGTTCTTGTTAGCTGAATTGAATTGACCTCTCTTGCTCAGAAATCTCCGGTTATACCCACATGCCTATACCATCAAGTCTAACATCAGAATCTTGCTGTCTTTTGTGGCTGCATACTGCCCATTCAATTTTATTTCCTACTTGACCCCAATACAAATGCACCAATACAGCTTTATCAGTGATTCTCAGCACCAGCTGCACATTAGAATTCCCTGGAGAGCTTTTTAAAAATGCCATTACCCAAGTCCCTCTACCAAAGATTTTTATATAATTGGTCAAAGATGAGGCCTAGGCATCTGTACTTTTTAAAAGCATTTGGGATGATTCTAATGGCAACCATGGTTAAGAAATACTGAGCTACTGTATTTGCTTCACTTTTTCCTGAGAGCAATTTATTCACCCTCGACAACATTTTCATGCTCTTCTACCTAGCCATTTTAGTAAAACTCACACACCTCTATATTTGTGCAGGATCTGGTTCAGGCTCACCTCTTTCAGGAAGCCTTCCCTCACTACCCCTATCTACTCTGATCTCTCATAGTCTTATATTTTATTGACTTACTATTTCACAATTTCTAGTGGCAGTGCTTGACTTGCCAGTACAAATGCCTGCAGGGCAGGAAGTCTTGTCTGAGAAACTCAATAAATATGCTGAACTTTCAATTATCACTTTGGTTTGATCACATTTCAAGATGAACACTTTATACAAAATAAAGTAAAAATAATAAAACTCAGTGTATAAATATATGCTGATTATATTTCCATAACTGTGTAGAGAGCCCAAATCCTGGAGTCAAACATACCTGAATTTGAATCCCAGCTCCAGCACTAGTTAGTTGTGTGACCTTGGGCAAGTTACTTAATCTTTCTAAGTCTCAGTTTTCTGATATTTAAAAAGTGAGTAATAGCAGTACCTACCCTCATTAAATTGTTGTGAATATTAAATGAAATAAGGTATGTAAAATCTTTAGCAAAACATCTGGTACATATTAAGCAATCAGTTCATAAATATAATTATTTATTATTTGAGTGAGGGTTTTACACCTAACTCCTTTTAAATCCACACTTTCTTGAAAAAAGCATCTATCTTTTATATATTTTCTCAAAAGCAAAGATAAGCGATCCTTTGTGCTTTATTGCTATATCTAACAAGATTATTTCACCATACCAAAGCTTAACTGTGTTACTATTACGTTAGAATGTTCGTTATACACAATACTCTAAGTAATTTCAGTGCTTATGGATATATCATTACATTATATGAAGTTACTGACAATTTACAGGTTTAATTTAGTGACTAAATAGTAGGAAATTCTGATTAAGAATTCGCCAGAGGGGAGAAATCTAATTGAAGGGGAGTGAAGTCCATACCATGGACCATTTAGCTGAATTAAACCCAGCTTCCAAGGGATGGTACAGGGAATGATTAGAATGCTACAGCTCTGGTTACTACAAACATTGAGTGGATTACCAACCAATCTACATCTCTACATTTTCGCACTCACCACCCATGACTTCAGAGCATTTCAATAATGAAACTCTATAGGGAGAAAAACTGTTTAGATGTTTTTCCTTCACCTATTGTAATCTCACAGTCAGCTATCTAACATACACAGAAGCTGCCCGCAGATGACACCACTGAGAAATACAGAGAAAAGGAAGCATGAAGGAAAGAAGGAGGAAGGCAAAGGGGCAAGGGGAAAAGATCACACATTGCAAGTCATATGATTATAAAAATCAATGAAAATTCATTATAAAATAACTGGAAAATGTTTAGGTTTTTTTACTTTGCTCTCAACCCTACTCTTCAAGATGCTTTATTGTTTTGCCATTTAGAAAGTGCTTAGAGAGTTCTACAACAGAAGTACTTCACTGTTTTATTAAAGATTATGTTTAAATGTGCAAGGAACAATTTACAGAAAAATCCACATTCTCTTTGGCTCATAGGATTCAGCCCTAGCTGTTAAAGGCTCAATAAACTGTTATTGCTTCACATTACTGAATAGATGCAACTGTGAAAAAAAATATAACAAGTTCACATTCTCATTCATTCTTCACATTTCTCCCGCCTTCCTTCTCATCTCCTTCTAGAGCTTTATCCTTTCTTCTTTCCTTCACCCAATGTCATTCCTTTCGCTCTGTACCAAAATACACACTAACATTCTTTAAACAGTGTTGTTAGATCAAAGTGCTAGTTTTCATCCTGAAGTGTATAGGTTTCTGCTGTGTTTAGCAAGTTAAAAAAAAAAAAAAAAAAGCAACTCTGACAGTTTTAGATTATCAGTTTCACATGCTTGGTACAAGTGAGGAAACTTGAGATGCAAAATCAGTAGAATGTATACAAACTGCATTTATTTTTTTCATCAAAGCACACACTGAAGTGTTTGGCTTATTGCCTAAAACTCAATTATCAGATTTTTTTAATTTTAAGAACCTCATCTTTGAACATAGAAATCACAAATATTTCACTCTTCTAAGTTTTGGGGCTTTGCTTAGCAAATTGAAGTCAAAAACAGAAGTAGTAGTGTCTGCTGTTTCTGCCGAATGATTAGTACAGGCGGAAGGGTTATAGAGGTTAAACAAGGAAATCGTTTGTTTCTGCCTACACAAAGGATTATGAGAACACTTTTCAATGTAAACACACTTGAGATGCTGAGGTATGTTGTGAAGAGTTAAGCTGTGAGTCCTGTGTGAATTTACTTGTTTGTCTGACAAACGAAAACATTTCAAAGGTTATCTATGCCTGGAAGCTTATGCCAGGCAGAGAGACCTTCACTTCTTTTTAACGTGGGTTTGGGATACTGGGGTGATAATAATATGTATTGTGAATGAAGTGCAGATAGGAAAAAAAGAGTGAAGCAGATAAAAATGGGGCTTTTTTTCCTACTTGTACAAATTGATCATTGCTTGCTTCTCCAAAGGCCAAAATATCTTAACTACTGGGAAGCCATTGAAATTATTTCCCAGTATTGTGAGTTGACACAGGAGAATAGAAGGTCCTCTTTATTTAAAAACTTATTTTGCACCCAAAATAATCCCATCAGGCCTTCAGTATTTGGTGGCAGGGTTTCGGTCTTCGAAGAGGAATACACAAATTAGAATTGTTTGGGAACCCACTCACCACAAACTGACCAGTTAACTTTTGTGGAATCAACATTAGTGCTAGCATAGCAACACCTACTGGTTAATTTATGAAGTAAAGTTGAAGCCAACATGGCCAGAAATCAGTTCCTCCATCTTTTTTTTTTTTTTTTTTTTGAGACGGTGTCTGGCTCTGTCGCCCAGGCTGGAGTGCAGTGGCACGATCTTGGCTCGCTACAACCTCCGCCTCCTGGGTTCAAGCGATTCTCCTGCCTCAGCCTCCATAGTACTTGGGACTACAGGTGCGCGCCACCACCACTCCCAGCTAATTTTCGTATTTTCAGTAGAGACGGGGTTTTTCACCATATTGGTCCTGACCTCTTGATCCACCAGCCTTGGCCTCCCAAAGTGATGGGATTACAGGTGTGAGCCACCACGCCTGGCCCAGTTCCTCCATCTTAATTAGAAAAATTAAAGCATGTTTTTTACCTATGACGTCTAAAATTTTACCCATTTTAGATATATAAATGAGTATAAAAATGACTGTTTTCAAATTAAAGAATGGGAAAGAAAACTGTAGTTGTGAAAGAAAAATAACTATGTTTAGGGTGCTACTAAGGCAATTATTACACTTCTCAGTAATTGGAAGTTGCCATTCAGCCTTCTAAAAATTATGTTATGTAGTTCATAAGTGAGACTGATTCTTTTTCTTCTTTCTTCTCCTCCCTTCCCCCCTCTCCTCCTCCTCCCCCTTCTCTTCCTCCCTCCTCTTCTCCTTCTCCTCCTCCTTTTCTCCTCCTCCTTCTCTTCTCCTCCTCCTCCTCTTCTTCTTCTCCTCCTCCTCCTCTTTCCTTCCTCCTCCTCTTCCTCCTCTTCTTCCTCCTCCTTCTCCTGCTCCTTTTCTTCCTCCTCCTTCTCTTTCTTCTTCATACATTTTTTAAAGGGGGTTACACAATTACGGGAAGCCATTCATGAAAATACTAGATGGATGGAAATAAGCTGAGAGGTATCATGTTTATTTTTACCACAGTTATGAAGTCTAGTCAGTAAACAATGAATACAGCATGTAATGCCATAGTCAGCTCTAACACTCCTAAACAACGTCTTAACTTAAAGAGACTTTTAAGAACAGTAAGTACCACAGAAAATAGAGCTGTAGAGAATATGACTCATACCAAAATGAAAATACACACAAATTGCTTCAAATCCTGAACTTCAGTAGAATTTGACCTTGCCAATATTTAGAAAAGCCATAGATCCTGTCTAACTCCTCTATTCTGTAATAATGCCTTGTAAAAACAAACAAACAAACAAACAGAAAAACAGCCCCGTGAACTGAACAAGAAGCAATTTGTCGCTAGTTAACCAAGTTGTAAGCCAGGACATTGACTGGCTGCACCTGTATGTTCTCAAGAACCGCAACGTGAAGTCTTCATTCACGGACAAGCAGCTCTGGGAAGGAATTTAGGAGGTAGGCAATAGGAACTCCACACTAATCTCTGAAGAGCCAAGGCCTGGGGGAAAGCAAAAGGATGAAACCAAGGCAAGCCTGGAGACTCCCAAAACTTTGAAGTAAAAATCTCTTCCCTCCTAGATAAGGTAGTAATTTTTTCTTAAAATATAAAAGGATTATATACATTGTGAATCTGCCATTCTGAGTTTGCATAATTCTACTTTTAGTTAACTTGGGCTACATAACATTGTATTTTTTCCTTAAGACGGTGTTTTGCTCTTGTTGCCCAGGATGGAACGCAATGGTGCCATCTCAGCTCACTGCAACCTCTGCCTCCCTGGTTCAAGTGATTCTCCTGCCTCAGCCTCCTGAGTAGCTGGGATTACAGGCATGCACCACCATGCCCAGCTAATTTTTTTTTTTTTTTTTTTTTGGATTTTTAGTAGAGACAGGGTTTCACCATGCAGGTGAGGCTGGTCTTGAACTTCTGACCTCAGGGGATCCACCCGCCTCAGCCTTCCAAAGTGCTGGGATTACAGGTGTGAGCCACCGCCCCTGGGCAACAGCTTCATTTCTTTAGTTAACAACATAGATACATCCACAGTACCTATGATACATTTCTAAGTGATCCATTTGGTTTAAAGTAACAGACTGATGGACTCTCAGGGAACATCAGGAAATTTTGTGTTCCCAAGACACAGAAATATGTGGGTTTTGTACAATGCTGGGAAAAGTCTAGGCCTTTACCACGTCCTGCTTGGATTCCTGCAGCCACCTCCTAATTGCTCTCTCTGATAATAGTTGTACCCCCAATTCTGGATATTTCTGCCCAATTTATTTGTCTAAAATGTTTATTCAGAGTCATGTTTCTTTTCAGAAACCTTAGTTGTTTATCTTGCCAAAGAATTTTCAAACTCCATAGTTTAGTGTTCTTTCTAGAAATGTGCCAGTATCTCCTTTTCAACCATGGCTCTCATTAGCCCCTTAACACAAACCTTTCTGTCCTGTTGTTAGTCAGGGTCTTTGTTCTTAGAGCACCCAAGATGGTGGCGGGCCGCTCCAAAGATGGTGGTGGCCGTTCCCAAGATGGCAGCAAGCTTTTTGTTCTCTGACCTGGGGTTCTTGGCCTCACGGATTCCAAGGAATGGAACCTTGGGCCATGCGGTGAGTGTTATAGCTCTATTAGAAGCCGTGGGTCAAGGAAGAGAACCGTGGAACCCAGCAACTAGTGTTCAGCTCAATTAGGACAAACCCAGGCACTTAGCCACGCAGGAACAATGGTGAGCATCTAACCCAAACGGGAGTGGCAATGGGTGCCTCACTGGATCAGAAACGCAGCAGACACCCTGCTGGATCCAGAGGGGTGGAAAGCGGGTCTGTGATGACGGCGTTCAGCAGTGGTGGACGGCCAGTGAAAGGTCAGCTCGAGCCAAAACAAACAAGGACCAGAAGATTATGCAGTTGCAGGATTTAATAGAGTGAAAACAGAGCTCCCATACAATGGGAGGGGACCCAAAGGAGGTTGCCCACTCCTGGCTCGAATGCCTGGGGTTTATATCCCAATCATTGTCCCTCCCCCTGTGCTCTCAGATGATAGATGATTTGACTATTTCTTTACCTCCTGCTTTTAGCCTAACTGATATTTTAGTGAGCCCTATTTACCACCTGATTGGTCAAGTGTGAGCTGAGTTACGAGCCCCATGTTCAAAGGTGGGTGCAGTCACCTTCCCCAGCTAGGCTTAAGAATTCTAGTCGGCCTAGGAACTCCAGCTAGTCCTGTCTCTCACTGTCAAGCTAATCAGTTGGGTTAATCAAGTCCTATCTATCAAGTTCACATTCATTAATATTGCCTCCACATCTCAACTGGTGGTGTCTACCTCCTCCTTTCCCTGTTACTATTACTTCTGCCCCCTTACCCCACCCCTGTAACAGTGCTTTCTCCTCTTCTTCTACCAAAATATTCTTCCAGCATCCTCTATATAGGCCTCATTCCAGACCCACAGGAAGAATTCCTCTGATTTCCTTACTAAAATTTTACTGCTCCAGACATACACTATCTTGTAACTTAAGTTTTCATTTGTGTATAGATCTTCATTCCTATCATAGTAACAAACTTCTCTAGGACAAGGATGAAATTTTATACTTTTATATAGCCTCCATAACTCCAAACACAATACACAAATCTGAGAGGAAACACACACACACAAGTTAAAAGCTTTAAAAATTACTAGATTTGCATTCCAAGACTGATACAAGATATCATCTAGCATTAAAAAAACTCACAGTGTTAAGCACTTTCACATGCATTTTCTCATTGAGCAAAGTATTAATATCTTGAAATAGTGTCAAGAAACTCAAGAAATTCTCACAGTTTCCACAGGAGAAGATAATAGAAAGGGGAGTGGAATTGGAATGTGGAACACCTTTTAATGACTCAGTAATCCTTACTTATTCAAGAAGGATTAATCTTCTGAGATAGTACCATGGTATATCCTCTGTAACTTAAGGCCAACTTACTGCATTTTTTTTCATTATTTTTATTGTGGCAAAATATATATAACATAAAAAAATTCTCATATTTTATTACTTTGTAACTCAGACTTTGCTAGTTTTTCTTCATTATATATTTCTTTTTCAACTTTTTTAAAAGATTATTTCTTCGGACTTTTGTACTTACCTATAGGGAACATAACTTGAAAAAAAAAAAACTTGGGGTGTTCCCGGTGACTCAGGCCTGTAATCCCAGCACTTTGGGAGGCCGAGGAGGGCGGATCACCTGAGGTCAGGAGCTCGAGACCAGGATCACCTGAGGTCAGGAGCTCGAGACCAGACTCACCTGAATGGTGAAACCCCATCCCTACTAAAAAAAAAAAAAAAAAAAGTACAAAAATTAGTCGGGCGTGGTGGCAGGTGCCTGTAATCCCAGCTACTCAGGAGGCTGAGGCAGGAGAATCACTTGAACCCGGGAGGCAGAGGTTGCAGTGAGCCAAGATCGCACCACTGAACTCCAGCCTGAGTGCCAGAGCGAGACTCTATCTGAAAGAAAAAAAAAAGAAATAGGAAAAAAAAAACTTGGGAATTTTTTTATAAAGTGCTTTAGATGTCCATGAGACCATGGAAAAATATGCTCTGGATATGCCCTGGAATATAAATCACTCTACAAATTCTACTTATTTTTATTATTGCTGCAGTTATCATGGGATATTCTTAAATGGTAAACTTTCCCCATAATAAAATGCATTTGGCATCTGAGCAATTAAACCATCTTATGCCAAGTCCTCTTTTTTTAAATATTGAAGGTCTTATGCTTTCCTACGATTTGTCTACCATGACATCTCAAATTGTTGTTACAGAGAAATAAAAGGTCATGATAACCTGAGCCTGTGATGAACTTGCTTTTGCATGTCCTTTCAATGTAATATTTCCTTTCAGTCATCAGTTTAAAGGTAGAATCACTCAGGGTTCTCAAAGGGCAAAAGATAACTTGCAATCCTCAGAACCCTGGAGATGGGCAGGGAAGCTGTCCTCCCCACAAAGGTTATTTGTAAGAGGACTTCTGAGAAGGGAGTTGAAAGGAAGAAGGAGAGGTAGAGAAGAGAAGAAAACACAGAATTCATACTATGTAGTTTCCATATAAACTACTCCATGAACAAAAGTAATATACCTGAAAGCTAAACAAAGTCAGTAAAAACTCTGTTAAAATAATTGGCATTGAGAAAGATAAATAAGCTCCTGCCTATTGATCTGAATCCTTTATGCCCTTCAGTTCTTATTTGACACTACACGATGGTATTTCTCTTCATGACCCCAATGTCTTGATCTGAAAACCAAACCAGTCATTTCTCACTGAGGGGGGAGAATAGTTTTGTTAACGTCTGTTTTTTTAGCTCTTTTATTTTTAAGTTGTTACTGAAATCGCCTTGATCTGCCTACCAGGGAACTGGAGCACATTCCATGAGCTTGCCGCCTAAATCTCTTTTCTCTTTATTTGTTCTACAGAATATTGATTTAGATTTCGGCCTATTCGCATTGCTTTAAACTTTTAAACACTGTCTCTAATAGCTAGAGGAAACACTTTGCTGAAGCTAAAATGATCACCCAAGAGAACTTATTGGGAAAATACATCGACCAAAATTAGCCCTTGGCTCTCAACGTACAGCTCCCATTGAAAGCAGTGGAAGCCGAACTCTTAGGATTTGAAGACACGTTTTCTTTGCATTGAATATAAAGGCTTTTTGAAAGGATTGTGCTTATTTGAGTTTCTGTTAAAGAAGCTGAATTAGCTCTTTGTCATATTATTAAAAGAGAGGCAGCATTGATTCTCCAATTTGTCTCCTAAGGGGTCTTTTCATATCTAACAAAATTGCACAGACATCCTTTTTTTTTGTTTCTGTACACTGATTGTTTAATACTATAAAGGACCAGGCATCATACCAAGAGCTTTCAGTCTTCAATAGTTCCTAGAACATTTTACTATAACATTTTCTAATCCTTTACAACCAAAATAACAATAAAAACAGAGCAATGTTTAGAATCAACATGGGAGAAGGGAAAAATGGTACCAGGAAACTAGCAGTGTAACTCTCTGATGTGAGATAACATCATAAGTTCCTGCCGCACCAAATTACTGCTGCCATAAATTCCTCTCAGGCTTCAGAACACTCTTTTATTACACTGTGGATAGTGCCATTGAGAAAGATCAGATTTCCAAAGGCCTCACCATGTAGCTGATGTCTTGAACTGCTGAAATGCTCAGGATGCATTAACTGGCACAAACTGACTCTAAGAGTCTGTGGCACCATCTGCTCTGAAAGATGCAAGTTATATAAATGTGTTGACCATAGGAAACCTCTGCACTAGCAAATGTGAGTCCCCTGCAGCAGGACTCAGCAACAGAGCACTTTTCAGGGTTCATCTCCATGTTAACACAGTTTAAGCAGGTTGTTAGTTTACTCAGGAGAGTCTTGCCCTGTTTTCCACATCTGACAACAAATAAAAAGGCATGATGTAGTCTTTGAGATAAGGAAGGGCAAGGGCCATGTCTCACTTGTTTTTACATATCTTGCTCCTAACATCATTCCCACACAGAAGCAATTAATTAATATTTATTTACTTTGAATAAGTTAGGAGTGAGAGACGCCAGATGACACAAGATGTGCCTTATAGACTTGTAAAAGACTAATCCTTGAAGGGGCAGAGCAAGATGGTGGAATAGAAGGCTCTACAAATCAGTCTCCCCACAAGGACGCCAATTTAACAACTATCTAAACAAAAAAAAAGCACCTTCAATAAGAATCAAAAATCAGGTAAGCACTCACCATACCTGGTTTTAAATTCATATCACTGAAAGAGGCACTAAAGAGGTAGGAGAAACAGTCCTTCCACCCTTTTCTCATGCCCTGGCAGCAGCAACATGGTGCAGAGAGCAATTCTGTGTGCTGGGGAGAGGGAGAGTGCAGCAATTGTGAGGCACTGAACTCAGTGCTGCCTTGTTATAGCAGAAAGTAAAACTGGACCAATCTCAGCTGATGCCTGCCCATGGAGAGAGCACTTAAACCAGCCCTAGCCAGAGGGGAATTGCCAACCCCAGTGGTTGGAACTTGAGTTCCTGCAAGCCTCGCCACTACAAGCGAAAGTGCTTCTGGGCCTCAAAAAAATTGGAAGGGAAGTATAGGCCACAAGGACTATAACTCCTAGGCAAGACCTAGTGCTGAAATGCACCCAGAGCCAGTGGACTGAGGGAGCATGCAACCTACTGACACAACAGCTTAGGGCAGCTAACGGAGTGCTGATATCACTCCTCCCCTAAGCTCGGGCTGCATAGCTCACAGCTCCAAAAGAGACTCCTTGAGGATAAGAGAGGGAAGAGTAAGGAGAACTTTGTCTTGCATCTTGAATACCGGCTCTGCCACAGCAGAGTAGGGCACTGGTCAGAGACGTGAGGCCCCCTTTCCAGGCCCTAGTTCCTAGAGGACATTTCTAGACACACCCTGGCCCAGAAAAAAAACCTGCCACCTTAAAGGGAAGGGCCCAGACCTGACAGAATTCATCACCTGCTAACTGAAAGCCCCTGGGCCCTAAATAGCCAGCAGCAATTCCCAGGTACAACGTTCAGGGTCTGAACGTTGAGTGAGCCTGAGACTTGCTGGCTTCAGGTAAGACTAAGCACATTCCCACCTGTGGTGGCTATAGGTCAAGAATTCTTCTGCTTGAGAAAAGTGGAGGGAAAAGTAAAGGAGACTTTGTGTTGCACTTTAGGTACCTGGTCAGCCCCAGGCAGTAGAGCACCAAGCAGACTTTTGGGGTCTGGATTCCAAGACTTAGCTCTTGGATGGCAATTCTGGACCTGTCCTGGACCAAAAGAGAGCCTACTGCCCTAAAACATGAGTCCCAGGCAGGCAGCATTCACCACAAGCTGAATGAAGAGCCTGTGAACCTTAAGGGAACATTGGCAGTAGTCTGGCAGTATTCCCCATGGGCTTATAGTGGCAGTGGCCATGGGGTGGGGCTCTTTGCCTTTGCCTTTGGAAAGGGGAGAGAAAAGTGGAAAGGACTGCATCTTGTGGTTTGGGTGCCAGCCTATCCGCAGTACATTCTTAGAACATTAGATTGATTTCTATGGTTTTTTTACTCTAGGCCTTGAATCCCAGACAGCACCTCTAAACTCAATCATTGCCTGTGGGAACTCACCTCCCTGAAGGGAATGACACACACCTGGCTGGCTTTGCTGCCTGCTGATTGTAGAGACCCAGGGCCTTCAGCAAACTTAGGCAGTAGCCAGGGAGTGGTGACAGCAGGCCTTGGGTGAGACCCAGTGCTGTGCTAGCTTCAGGTCTGACCCAGTGCAGTCATAGAGGCGGTGGCCACAGAGGGGCTCATGTCACTCCACCCCCAGCTCTAGGTGGCTCAGAACAGAGAGACAGAGATTCTGTTTAGAAGGACATAAGGGAGGAGAACCCAAGCCTCCTCCTGGTAATCCAGAGAATTCTTCCAGATCTTGTCCAAGATCATCAAGGCAATACCTCTATGAGTGTGCAAGAGTCACAGTGTTACTGGGTTTGGGGTGTCCCCTAAAGCAGATACAGCTTAGATGACAACACCCAAGTTCTTTTGAATATCTGGAAAGCCTTCCCAAGAGGGACCAATACAAACAAGTCCAGACCGAAAAGACTACAATAAATATCTAATTCTTCAATGCCAAGACACAGACGAACATCTACAAGTATCAAGACCATCTTAGAAAATATGACCTCACTAAATGAACTCAATAAGGCACCAGGGACCAATCCTGGAGAAACAGAGATATATTACCTTTCAGATAGAGAATTCAAAATAACTGTCTTAAGGAAACTCAAAGAAATTCAAGATAACACAAAATGAATTCAAAATTCTATCAGGTGAATTTAACACAGAGATTGACATAATTGAAAAGAATCAAGCAGAAATCCTGTAACTTAAAAATGCAATTGACATACTGAAGAACATTTCAGAGTGTTTTAATAGCAGAATTGATTAAGCAGAAGAGGGAATTACTGAGCTTGAAGACAGGCTATTTAAAAATACACAATCACTATTTGAAAATTCACAATCAGAGGAGAAGAAAGAACAAAAAACAGTGAAGCACACCTACAGGATCTAGAAAATAGCCTAAAAAGGGCAAAATCTAAGAGTTATTGGCCTTAAAGAGGAGGTAGAGAAAGAGATAGGGGTAGAGAGTTTATTCAATGGGAAAATGACAGAGAACTTCCCAAACCTGAAGAAAGATATCAATATCCAAATACAAGAAAGTTGTAGGACACCAAGCAGATTTAACCCAAAAAGACTACCTAAAGGCATTTAATAATCAAATTCCCAAAGTTCAAGGGTAAAGAAAGGATCCTAAAAGCAGCAAAAGAGAAAAAACAAATACAGTGGAGCTTCAGTAAGTCTGGCAGCAGACTTTTCAGTGGAAACCTGGCCAGGAGAGAGAGGCATGGCATTATTTAATGTTCTGAAAGAAAAAAACCTTTACCCTAGAATAATATACCCAGCAAAGATACCCTTCAAACATGAAGGAGAAATAAAAACTTTTCCAGACAAACAAAAGCTGAAGGATTTCATGAACACCAGACCTATGCTACAATAAATGCTAAAGGAAGTACTTCAGTAAGGGAGTGCTCATTGTTAATGAACAGTGTGAAATCATCTGAAGGTAGAAAACGCACTGCTAATAGTAAGTACACAGTAAGACATATAATATTATAACACTCTAACTGTGGTGTATAAAGCATTCTTACCTTAAGTTGGAAGACTAAACAATGAACCAATAAAAAATAATAACCACCACAATTTTTCAAGACATAGTACAATAAGGTATAAACAGAAACAACAGAAAGCTAAAAAGCGGGGAGACAAAGTTAAGTTGTAGAGTTCTCCTGTTTGTTTGTTTATAACAGTGTTAAATTGTTGTCAGCTTAAAATAATGGGTAATAGGATAGTATTTGCAAGCCTCATGGTAGTTTCAAACCAAAAAACAAACATACAATAGATACATAAACAAATAAAGAGCAAGAAACTAAATCATATCACCAGTGAAAATCACCTTCACTAAAGGAAGACAGGAAGGAAAGAAAGAGGGAACAGAAGACCACAAAACAACCAGGAAACAAAGGATGAATGGCAGGAGTAAGTCCTTACTTATCAACAATAACATTGAATGTAAATGGACTAAACTCTCCATTCAAAAGACACAGAGTAGTTGAATGCATTAAAAAACAAGACACAATTATCATTTGCCTATAAGAAACACACATTGTCTATAAAGAAACATGCAGTCTGAAAATAAAGGAATGGAAAAAGATATTCCAAGTCAATGGAAACCAAAAAAGAGCAGGAGTAGCTATACTTATATCAGACAAAATAGATTCAAGAGAAAAACAAAGAGACAAAGAAGGCCACTATATAATGATAAAGGGGTCAATTCAGCAAGAGGATACAACAATTTAAATATATATGTGCCCAACACTGGAGCACCCAGATATATAAAGCAAATATTATTAAAGTTAAAGAGAAAGATAGTCCCCAGTATAATCATAGCTGGGGACTTCAACATCCCACTTTCAGCATTGGACAGATCTTCCAGACAGAAAATCAACAAAGAAACATCGGACTTAATTGTCACTGTAGACCAAATGGACCTAATAGATATTTACAGAACATTTCATCCAATTACTGCAGAATATACATTCTTTTCCTCAGCACATGAGTAATTCTCAAGGACAGACCACATGTTAGCTCACAAAATGAATCTTACAGCATTCAAAAAAATGAAATAACATCAGGAATTAAACTGGAAATCAGTAACAAGAGGAATTTTGGAAACTGTATAAATACATGGAAATTAAACAACATACTTCTGAATGACCAGTGAGTCCATGAAGAAATTAAAAAGGAAGTTGAAAAATTTCTTGAAACAAATGATAATGTAAACACAACATACCAAAACCTATGAGATACAGCAAAAGCAGTACTAAGAGGAAAGTTTATACTTATAAATGCCTGCATCAAAAAAGAAGAAAAACTTCAACTAAATAATCTAATCATGCATCTTAAAGAACTGGAAAAGCAAGAAAAAAACAAACACAAAATTAGTAGAAGAAAAGAAATAATAAAGATCGGAGAAGAAATCAATGAAATTGAAATGAAGAAAACAATACAAAAGATCAATGAAACAAAAAGTCATTTTTTTGAAAAGTTAAACAAAGTTGACAAACCTTTAGCCAGACTAACATAAAAAAGACTCAAATAAATAAAATCATAGATTAAAAAGGAGGTATTACAGCTGATACCACAGAAATTCAAAGGATCACATAGTAGGCACTCAAATTGTGAATTGCTGAATTGAATTACATAGAAATACTATTGTTCAACCAAATCTCAAGTTGCATATAATGAATTAGCCGCCATACAGAAATCATGTGTTATTGAAATTGGTGATAAATTACTTATTATCTGTAATGGGTTTCTGAAAAATACTTCTCTTTCCATTAATGATTTTATTTTCAGCATTTGCTGGTCAATAAAAATCTCACATTACTGATGTAACTTCTCATCATAGGCAGAATTGAATATTCATGCCTAATTCAAATCACTGTTGTTCTGGCCTGTTGCTTTTTTTTCTCCTCAGATAGTTAAATCCTCATTTGTATAAAACATTTATTATACTTTGCCATTTATAAACTTTATTTCAGTCTGTTTTGTTATATTAACTAAATTTGGTAAGGAATTTTATTAGATTTTTATGGAGGGTGGGGACATAAAAATTAGACACAATTAAAAATCTTATACTTGTTTTAACCATAAAGACATTTGCCATTCTTTCTACTTTTGCTATATGTTCCTAGTAACGTGTAGAATTCCTCTTGTACTTAAGTGTTCTAAAGTTTTAGCATCATACTGGTGAGGAGCCTTAATAAATCCAAAGCAAATTAGCCGGTGTGAGTACTCTCTACGCGTATGGATCTGACAGACTGCTAAGATGTCATAGTACAAAGAAGTGTACTTCTCTTCCTGATAAATAGACTTGCATTTTAATTTTTTATTAAATTATTTGATAATAAAGACAAACAATAGCACCCTAGCGTCTTTTGTAGAAGTAATTAAGTCTTTGCAATAAGTGATTTCGTGACAGCTCTCTGCTATTAATAAATTTTAGTGAGAGTAGAGAGAGATTGTTGAGGTTGGTCTGAAAATTATTGGATCCTTAGACTAGTGAAATGAATGAGTTGAGCTCTACTGTATGAAAAATACTTTCCATAATAATTTGTATGTTAAACAGTTTATAATGATTCTGGCCAGGAGCACAAGAAGCCACCATTAATTTATACTGATAACCCAGAGCTAGCATGTTCCTTTATCAGGCAACTTCTGAAAACAAGCCCAAATTATTGTTGATGTTTAATATTAATTAGGTTCTCTCTTGCCCTGTGGCTTCCTCAAGTAACTCTCTGATAGTAAATCAACCATGAAATGGCTAAGTGTGGCCTGAAACGATGTGTGTGCTATCAAGGAGTAATGCAAAGGCAGAATTGGATTAACTGAGTCTCATAAACATCCTATAGAATATACTCTCTCCTTACCTTCTAGAAGATTACATTATGAAACCTGACATTCATCATTGACACTAGGTTTTTTTTTTTAGAACAAACATCTCTTAGATGAATACTAATTGCATATTAACAACGTAACTCTCCTATTAAACCTTCATAGAAAAGCAAAATTGTACAATCCATTGACAAAATAATTCCTTACCATTAACCAAGCAATAACCTTCATAAATTTCCCGAGCATATTCAGGCTCAAGTCATGCACTGTAATCCAACATAGTATCCACTTTTGGTGTTCTATACCACATTCAGCTCTGTCCAGCCACACTCCCTTCTAAACAAGCACAGCAGATTTACAGCCACTACATCCTCTGATTTCCCCAGAACCTCTTCCCCACTCCTTCCTGATAGGTCCCGTAGTCTCTGAATCCAATTTGCTTCCCACTGTCATTCTACTTTTATCTCCTTCTACTCTGCTTTAGACTAGTTGCCAATGTTTCATTGACTTTTAGAAAGTTTTGTTAATGGCCCATTAGGGTTTTTTTGTTTTGTTTTGTTTTGTTTTGTTTTTCCTTCTGAAAGAGGAAGGAAAGCTGATTTCAATGATCATGTTTTAGAAGCAAGCAGCTAAATGGCAACCAGACTTTTAAAATGCCAAAGGTCATCAGTTCTCCTGTGAGTTATTATGCAAAAAGAGTCATTGTTTCTTCTTTTACTTTGTGGCAGCATTATAAGGTCTCTTTCTGCTGCCCTAGTTTAATTTGAACCTGGCCTCTGAAGGCAGATGTATATATGCAGGGACCCAGAAATGGAGCAGGACCCAGGAGGGACTTGATCCTGCCATAATACAGATTAAGGAAAATGTAGCTTCTGACCTCAAAAAAAAAAAAAAGGTTTGAAGGCTAGTCTTATTAATGATGATTCACTGCAAGTGAGATAAAACAACAGACAAATAGAATCCTAGAATCGTATAGCAAAAAGGGGCTTAAAAAAAAGATCATCTAGTCTGTTTGGCCATCTAAAAATGCTCCTCGAGTGTCTCACAGACAAGAAAACTAATTCCTTGGGTATAGGTCAGGCACGTGAGAGCATGATCATCATTCAAGAGTTTTATTCACCATGCAAAAAAGCAGGCAACGCTCCGAATGAAGGGTTGAAATAGCATGAATCCAGGGTCTGGAACACTACCAAAGAGTTAATAAAGTGGCTAACAAAGAACAAACAGCTAAATGACCTACCTGGACCTGGTCAAGAGAAAAAGCTGAAATTACTACCTGCTGTAGAAATATGACAAAATGTTACATTTACAAACCAAAGCAGTCTCAGAAAATGTAACAACCTTAGCTGTAAAGTGATGGGTTAACAATCTCCACTTTCACAAAGAATAAAAAGTAACAGGCCAGAATAACAGTGATTTGAGCAATGCATGAATATTCAATTCTCCCTGTGATGAGAAGTTACATTAATGATGTGAGGATTTAACTGACAAGCAAATGCTGAAAATGAAATCCTTAATGGAAAGAGAAATATTTTTCAGAAACCCATTGCAGATAATAAGTAAATTATTACCAACTTCAATAAAATATGATGATGCACATGCAAACCTTTAATGTCTAACATTAGGCATTTCTAAAATACAGGTTTCAGAGAGATGAGCACCTTTGTTATGCTCCTTTTTTTTTTTAAAGTATCCACTTCTCCTCGAGATTTCTTTTAGCTACTAATAAAATTAAAGCTGTTAGAGTCTTAAAGGTATTCTTTACTTTTAAGGAATAAGGAAAAGTAGAGGCTTATCTTTCTTCCCCACTAATAAATACAATTTTTAAAGTAGTATGTGACTACAGTTTTTTGGATATGTCAATAAATGCATATTTATAAGTTATAGATTAAATTTTACTAAGAAATAATATTTAGATTTCCATCAAGTCAGGTATAAAATAGAACTTATTTTATCACATTTTAAAAACAAAGGCGTTCAATTGTATTCAATCATTAGGTGTTACGTTGTTGTTCTCAAGGACCAAAAAAAAAAGGCTTCTTGTTAACAGTGTTAGTTCACAGAGCAAAATGTATTTGGAATACATGGTGGGATGGCCCTTCTGGAGGAAATGCTCCAGCAGAGGACCATTTGTCAGCCAATTAGCAGTGTGAATTTGGGGAGAAAGTAATTCCTTTTTCATTACTGCTTTAGTGTTGGTCTATTAATGGGATAAAAGATAAATAAATAATTTTTAAAAAATTTAATCTCTCAGGATGAAAATCCAAAGATCCTACTAAAGGAGAATGGAAAAGGAAGTCTGAGGTAAGGTCATTTCCAGTGTCTCTAACAAATAAACTAAAATGAAAGATCAGTTGGTCCAAAGAGGTGGAACCTTGGGAGCCCCAGGATTCAGAATTCTTGAGAGCTTTCTGGCTGCAACAGCCTTTAAAGCTCTGCAGATGTCTGATCAGAGTAGATTGTCCCTCTTCGCAGAGTGACCTAACACGACTATTACCTCAGTGGAAGCCAAGGAAATTCACCATTGAACTCTTGGAATTATCGTCCTGATGCATCCCCCTGGAAATAATAATAGGGAAAAAGGAAGTACCAAAATCAATTGGAAAATATTTGTTTTTCTATCCTCATGTTCCCACATTCAGTTAACATGATTCTAATACCTCTGATAAACTTCAAGATAGGAAAATTATCAAAAAATAAATTGTTTTAATACTGAATATGACAATGTTATGTTAGCATAATAATAGTTCTAAGAAGTCCTAAATTTTAAAAAGTCTACATATTTTAAATGAGTAATTTTTATTGTACACAAGTGTTCCACTGGACATACTTTGAGAAATATTGCCCTAAGTAATAAAAAATGACATGAATCTTCCTTTAAGCAAAAATAGACCTAGGGTTTGCCTGCTAGATTTCTGTTTACTCAGGATTTCCTCTGTCTTTCTACCGTGTCTTGTGATTTATAATGAAAAATGAGTTCTTCTTCTACCAAAAATCAACTTAAATTAGTGAATGAAATTATAAAGGTGTTTAGTAACTTAGTTTTGACAGAGGTGAAAGCTAAATTAAAATGCTAAATGTTAGTGGAAAGGGAAATGTGGTCAACGTACACAGGACATGACAAGAACTGGACTAAAAGGTGTCCTCCCGGTTTACAGCCCATTATATTAACCTCGCACACAGTCCCAGCCACAGGCCCACTTCTCTTCATGATTCTCCAACCCTCCTGTTCATCCTCTCCATTATCCTATACTCTTGGAACTCCTGACTTCTCAAACATTTCCCTTTTCCCCACCTTTTTTTTGGATTTTACTTTCCTGGATAGATGTTCTGATAATGAACAGTTGCTCCCCCTCAAACGTCAACCACCACCCCACCACCCTGTTCTTGGATTCGGATCCTGTCCTTAATGTTAAGATTCACACTTCCCACTTCTCTTGATTCATCAGAAGAAATCAAACAGATCACCCAGACTCTAAACTGCTCATCTATACCTCATTCTTCACACTAGATTCACTGACTCATCGTCTCTTTAATAAATGCTCCTATATTTATGTTCTTATATCACTAGGGAATTACACAAATGAACATTGGGACATAAGACCTTCAAATAAAAAGTGCTTATATTCTGTAAGTAAATTTTGTGTTACTGAAAATGAGGTCCTCTTATTTATTGTAGTTTCTAACATACATGGACAGAGGGGAGGGGTGGAAATGAATGGGCAGCTTTTCCCCAATTATGAAAAATACAAATCACTAATTCAAGAATTTAAAAAACTCAGGTATTCTTTAGAAAAGGTGGGGAAAGGGAAGTAATGAGCAACAGAACTCAAGGAAACAAACTGTGGGGAAAATAGATAATTTAGCATAACCTTACAGAAATCCAAATCACCTTACAATCTCTCTCTCTCTCTCTGTCTCTCTCTCTCTCTGTCTGCAGTCAATCTATAGTCTTCTTTTTCTATCTAGAGACAAGATTTGGGGTACCACGAATATTTTTTATTTTAGTCTCATGATTTTTATGTATATGATGCTTCCTGCCAAATAGTTGAGCCATTAGAATTACACATCTAGCCTGTAACACTGTGTGTTGTCCTTTAGTTGACCGTCTGCACCAATGAAAGGCACTGTTGTTAAGACATGTCCCTTTGCCCTTGTGGTTACCATTTTACTCCAAACGATTTCCAAGGGTGAAGCTATTATATTACTTCAGCTACTGTATTCACCCTATTGAGTCATATTTTGGCTACAAGCCTAATAAGAGGCAGAGTCAATACTGAATTCAGATGAATTTATGCATCTATATTTTTTAAAGATACTTTTATAACAAGGAACTACTGCCTATTAAAAGCAATGTAATTGACAATTATGATATCAAAATAATGTAACACACTGGTCACTTGATTTAAGTAGCACATTAAGAGAAAAAACATTCTTATGTAAATTTCTTTTAATCTGTCATTGATTTTAACATAAATTCAGATATGTATTTTGGTGGCAAAAATTTGGCCTTTGTATGTAGTATGTGTTATAAGTAAAAATGGGATTTGTATAAAATCAAATATTTAAAATAAAAAATAACATTTTTGATTAAAAACTATGCAAACCTTCAAAATTATAATAATGTAATAAACACAAAGATAAAACAAAAACAAATAAAATATACTATACTAGAAACTAAAAATACATGTCATGTGCTTCATATGATGCTGCTTCTATAGAGAAAGTAAGTTCTAATTCTCAAGTATTCTACTTTCTACAAATCTCAAAGAACTTCAACACTTGAGACAAATGTTTTAATTTTTATTTGCACAGTAAACACAAACTGAAGAAATGTGTCTCTCTCTAAGCATTTGCATTGAATAGTCCTTGGAATAACTGCTTCTATCTTGGTGTGTTACCTTGGACAATTCATTTTAAATTTCTGGTCTCAGTTTCTTCATTTATACAGTAAAAAATAACAGGAAGCATAGAGTTCAGTGGTTTTTATGGTTTCTTCAAGATGCTTCAGAAACAGCAAGAAAGAAATTGAATTTTATTTCTATTAAATATTGGTCCCACACAGGGATACCATGAAAAACTGAGTTAGGGTTTTAACAGATCCTCCCAAAAAAAACATTTTAAGTAACTATACAATCTAAGTAGAAATAGTATGCTTACTATGCAAACACAGCCTCAAGACAAGTCCCTTGGCCAAAACATACAGGTTGTTGCCTCCAAATCTCTTCAATATAGAAATTCTCAAGCCACCACTAAATCCACTACTTCATTTTTTAAAGTTTTGTTTTGTTCAATTTTTTTAATGACTAGTATAACCAAAAGAAAATGGGTTTTGTGGTTAGACAAATTGGGGTTCAAATCCCCAGTCTGCTTTCTATGAAACCCTGGACAGGTTTTTCAATATTTCAGAGCTTTGGTTTTCTCATTTTAAAACAGATAATAATACCTACCTTACAATGTCACTGGGGTAATAAATAAAATACTGCATATAACTCAAATGTTAAAGATTGGATGGCTTTCTTTGGACTATAAACTTTCTGATAACTCCCCAGTTCTTTGAGTGGCACCCCTAAGAATTATAGTAATTCTTGAGGCAATTACACACATTGTTATCCTTTGCCTTTGTGCCTCTATCTTCCTCAGATATTACCTCTGCTTCACTCCACATGAAAATCAATATTCTTTTAGTTTTCACAGGCATTCATAAGTAAAAATGTGATTACATAAGGTAGTTCATATATTTGTCTCTCTTCCTAGTTTCCTCTCCCTATGTGCCTTTCCATTCATTTCTCCAGGATTGGCCTGACAATTCTAAATTTTTCTTCCTCATTATGAAGAACAATTTCTTTTGATGTAAAGCTTTGGCAATAGATATCATTCGTATCCTGATGGTAGAGACCTCACCTAATTCACATATTGCCCTTGTATTATTTTCAACAGCTACAGAAAACATATTTCTAGAAAGTTTTAGCATTGTGATTATCTCCTCAATATTTATTCCATCAATTTTTTTATATTTAGTAGTCGTGCTGTTTAGGTTTAGTTAAGCCTTATTACTCAAAGTGTGTTCCAAAGGCCATCCACTGTCAACATCACCTGGAAACTCATTAAAAAAGCAAAATCTCAGGGTCCATTCCAGAATAATGAGCTCGAGCCACAGGTAACTTCATCTCTCTTGCCACACAATCTTCAAAAGTTCACACAACTCAAGCCTAAGCCAATCACACTTATAAATTCCTAGTCTCAGGAATCAGTTTAAGATGTGTAAAACCTTAAGACTGTCCAATCAGTGATGCTTATGATTTGTGTTTTGTGTTTGTAAACACAGACTTTTTCTTTCCCCACCACACCATCCCTCAAATATGCATAAGGAAGTATGGCTCTCTGGTTGCTCTATGAAGCCACATTGTAATAGTGAAGCAACAAGCCTGAGGACAAATCTTATATAAAGAGGGTCTCATAAGTCTCAGAGAAATGGAAACAACTGTGATGAACTGCCCTCTGAAGCTCATTCTACCTTTCCACAACATAACCAAACTAATTCAGATTATTTTTTGAGGCTAGCTGGAAAAACTATGGCCTATAGGCCAAATCTAGTTTGTATTGTTGTAATCTAAAGAATTATTTTTAATTCTAAAAAGATGTAGAAAGACATGAGAAGAGTTCAAAAAGATGACAGAGTAGGAAGCACCAGAAATCTGTTCCCCCACCTGGAAAACAATTGCATTGACAGAATTTGTCTAATATAACTAGTTTGGAACTGTAGAATCTATTGAAGAATTATAACTTCCAGAATAAGGCTTGAAGACAAATTGCTGTTGATTTGGGTCTGTTTCAGCTCTTATCACAGTAGCAGGTACCAATCCCCCACCCTCAGCCCCACAGCAGGCAGTTGTGTACCTATTCCTGAATCAACAAGTACAGAGCTTGTAGGAGCCAGAGTGAGCAAAAAGTGTCCCATCCTCCAAATATCAGGAATCTGTGCTCTGATTACTGATTGCTGCTTCTATTACAGAGGTGCAGACAAAGGGGTAGGTGGCCATTATTATTGCATCTCCCCCAGTTGCTACAAGCCCTTCAATCCTCCAGCTGAAAGGACTTCCAGGGGATTTAAAGGGCCAACACCCTTTCTCTCCTCTCACTTTTCCCTTTTTCCTTTTTTGGGAGCCAGATATTAAGGACCAGGACATTCAAAAACAACTGCATATATGGGGGAAGTAGAAGGTGACCATGCATGCCCAGGGAAAGGCACAGACTCAGAAAAGACCTGAGAAGACCTTAAGTTCACACCTCAGGCTTATCCTTAGCACACAGACTGCCTTCAACAATCAAAAAATAAAAATAAAAATAAAACTAACAAAATTAACAAAAAAACGGCAAACTCTAGAGAAGGAAGAGAATCTGATTTAAAGAGTTAGCACATTATTAGATTCAAATGTCCAGTTTTCTACAAAAAATCATGGGCACATAAAGAAACAGGAAAATATGGCCCATTCAAAGAATAAATCAATCAATCAACAGAAACTGTCCCTGAAAAGGGGCTAATGGCAGATTTACTAGACAAACACTTTAAAACAATAAAGATAGTCAAAAAACTAAAGGAGATGTGCAGAAAGTCAAGAAAATGATGAGTGAACAAAATGGAAATATCAATGAAGAGTTAAATAACCTAAAAAAAAAACAAAAAGAAATTCTGGAGCTGAATATTATAATAATTGAAATGAAAATTTCCCTAGAGGTATTCAAAGGCAGATTTGAACAGACAGAAAAAGGAATCAGTAAACATAAGGCTAGGACAATGAAATTACTAAGTCAGACAAACAGAAAGAAAAAAGATTGAGGAAAAGTGAACGGAGCCTAAGGAACCTATAGTACAGCATTAAGCAGACTAACATATGTATTGTGGGAGTCCCAGGGGAAGAGAGAAAGAAAACAGCTGAGAAAATATTTGAAGAAATAATAGTTAAAAACTTCTCAAATTTGATGAAAGACATAAATATGAATATAAACATCCAAGAAGCTCAATAAACTCCAAGTATGGTGAACTCAAAAAGATCCACATCAAGACACATATAAGCAAACTTTTGAAAGACAAATAATCTTGAAAGTAGCAAGAGAGAAGCAATTGATCATATATAAGGGATGCCCAATAAGATAACCAGCAGATTTCTTATGGGGAACTTTGAAGGCCAGAGGCAGTGGGCTACCACTTTCAAAGTACTAAAAGAAAAAACTGTCAGCCAAGAATTACATATATGGCAAAACTGTCTTTCAAAATTGAGGGAATAATGAGAACATTCCCAGATAAAAAAAAGCCAAGGGAGTTCATTACCACTAGACCTATGCTATAAGAGATGCTCAAGGGAGTCCTACAGGGTGAAGTGAAAGGCCAGTAGACATTAACTCAAAGCCATATGAAGAAATAAAGATCTCAATAAAGATAAATACATGAGAAATTATAAAAGCTAGTACTATTGCAACAATGATTTGTAACTTCACTTTTTGTTCTCTACAGTAACAATATTTAAAAGACATACTTTTAAAAAAATTATTAGTCTAACATCTAATATTACTGTAACTTTTATTTGCAACAACTACACATTCTGTTTTCTACATTTTTTAAGAGAGTAATGCATTTAAAATAAGTAACTATGTTTTGGAGCACACAATGTATAAAGATATAATTTGGTGACAAGAACTAAAAGGGAGGGAAACATGAGTGGTAAAGAAGCAGAGTTTTTGTATATGAATGAAGTTAAACTGATATAAATTCAAATTAGACTATCACAACTTTAGTCTATTAAATGTAATCCCCAAGTTAATCATGAAGGAAATAAATACAGAATATACAAAAGAAAATGAGAGAATAATTTAAACATAAGAATTTAAATGTTTTACTACAAAAAAAATTAAACAGAAAAGAAGACAATAATGCAGGAAGTGAGGGACAAAACCAAAAGGCATGTAGAAAACATATAACAAATGACAGAAATATATGATACAAACATATATGGCATGGTGAAAACAAATAGCAAAATGACAGAAATAAGTCCCTTCTAATTAGTAATAATGTTAAATGTAAATGTATTAAACTCTTCGTACAAAAGACAGATTGACAGAATTTCTAAACTTTTATGATCAAACTATATGCTGTTTATAAAAGACTCACTCGTTTTAGATCTTAAGACAAAAGAGACTGAAAGTGAAAGGATGGGAAAAGATACTTCATATAACTAGTAACTAAAAGAGACTAAATGTGGCCATGTTAATATTGGACAAAATAGACAAAATGAGACAAAGCAAAAATATTATATATTAATAAAAGTTTTAATACAATAAGAAAATATAACAATTATAAACATTTATGCACCTAATAACAGGCTTTCAAAATATATGATGCAAAAACTGACAGAATTTAAAGGAGAGATATAAAGTTCTACATATTTTAATAACTTACTCTCAAGACTGGATAGAACAACCAGGAAAAAAAGTAAATAAAAGAAATAACTTAAACAATAAAATAAGCCAACTAGATGTAATAGACAGATGCAGAACACTCCACTCAACAACCACAATATACACATTTTTCTCAAGTGCACCTGGAACATTTTCTGGGATAGACCATATGTTAAGCCACAAATTAAGTTTATATATACATATATGTGTGTGTGTGTGTGTATGTATATATACATATATATATATATAAAAAATTCTTTTTTCTTGAGATGGAGTCTTACTCTGTTACCCAGGCTGGAGTGCAATGGTGCAAACTCAGCTCACTGCAACCTCCGCCTCCTGGGTTCAAGTAATTCACCTGCCTCAGCCTCCCACGTAGCTGGGATTACAGGCACCTGCCACCCTGCCTGGCTAATTTTTGTATTTTTAGTAGAGACGGTGTTTCCTCATGTTGGCCAGGCTGGTCTCAAACTCCCAACCTCAGGTGATCTGCCCACCTTGGCCTCCCAAAGTGCTGGGATTACAGGCATGAGCCACTGTGCCTGGCCCAAGATTCAATATATTTTAAAGGTTGATAATATACAAAGAATCTTCTCCAACCACAGCAGGATAATCTTAGAAATCAATAAAAAGTAAAACAGAAAAATTCATAAATTTTTGGATATTAAACAATGCACTCAACTCATAATATTGTTGTTAATCATTATTAAACAAGAATGGATCAAAGAAGAAATCAGAAGGGAAATTAGAAAATACCTAGAGATGGCAAAAACAAAAACCTTACATCAAAATTTACAGCAAAAGTGGTGCTGAGGGAAAAATTTATACCTATAAATGCTTGTATTTGAAAAAACAAAGATTTCAAATAAACAACCTACCTTTACAACTTAAGAAACTAGAAGATAGTATAGGGAGGAGCCAAGATGGCAGAATAGGAACCGCTCCAATCTACAGCTCCCAGCCTGAGCGACGCAGAAGACAGGTGATTTCTGCATTTCCATCTGAGGTATCGGGTTCATCTCGCTAGGGAGTGCCAAACAGTGGGCGCAGGTCAGTGGGTGCGCGCACCGTGCCGGAGCCGAAGCAGGGCGAGGCATTGCCTCACTCGGGAAGCGCAAGGGGTCAGGGAGTTCCCTTTCCGAGTCAAAGAAAGGGGTGATGGACGGCACCTGGAAAATCGGGTCACTCCCACCCGAATACTGCGCTTTTCCAACGGACTTAAAAAAGCGGCGCACAATGAGATTATATCCTGCACCTGGCTCGGAGGGTCCTAGCCCACGGAGTCTCGCTGATTGCTAGCACAGCAGTCTGAGATCAAACTGCAAGGCGGCAGCGAGGCTGGGGGAGGGGCGCCCGCCATTGCCCAGGCTTGCTGAGGTAAACAAAGCAGCCGGGAAGCTCGAACTGGGTGGAGCCCACCACAGCTCAAGGAGGCCTGCCTGCCTCTGTAGGCTCCACCTCTGGGGGCAGGGCACAGACAAACAAAAAGACAGCAGTAACCTCTGCAGACTTAAATGTCCCTGTCTGACAGCTTTGAAGAGAGCAGGGGTTCTCCCAGTACGCAGCTGGAGATCTGAGAACGGGCAGACTGCCTCCTCAAGTGGGTCCCTGACCCCTGACCCCTGAGCAGCCTAACTGGGAGGCACCCTCCAGCAGGGGCACACTGACACCTCACACTGCAGGGTACTCCAACAGACCTGCAGCTGAGGGTCCTGTCTGTTAGAAGGAAAACTAACAAACAGAAAGGACATCCAAACCAAAAACCCATCTGTACATCACCATCATCAAAGACCAAAAGTAGATAAAACCACAAAGATGGGGAAAAAACAGAACAGAAGAAATGGAAACTCTAAAAATCAGAGCGCCTCTCCTCCTCCAAAGGAACGCAGCTCCTCACCAGCAGCAGAACAAAGCTGGACAGAGAATGACTTTGACGAGCTGAGAGAAGAAGGCTTCAGACGATCAAATTACTCTGAGCTATGGGAGGACATTCAAACCAAAGGCAAAGAAGTTGAAAACTTTGAAAAAAATTTAGAAGAATGTATAACTAGAATAACCAATACAGAGAAGTGCTTAAAGGAGCTGATGGAGCTGAAAACCAAGACTCGAGAACTACATGAAGAATGCAGAAGCCTCAGGAGCCGATGCGATCAACTGGAAGAAAGGGTATCAGCAATGGAAGAGGAAATGAATGAAATGAAGTGAGAAGGAAAGTTTAGAGAAAAAAGAATAAAAAGAAACGAGCAAAGCCTCCAAGAAATATGGGACTATGTGAAAAGACCAAATCTACGTCTGATTGGTGTACCTGAAAGTGATGGGGAGAATGGAACCAAGTTGGAAAACACTCTGCAGGATATTATCCAGGAGAATTTCCCCAATCTAGCAAGGCAGGCCAACGTTCAGATTCAGGAAATACAGAGAGCGCCACAAAGATACTCCTCGAGAAGAGCAACTCCAAGACACATAATTGTCAGATTCACCAAAGTTGAAATGAAGGAAAAAATGTTAAAGGCAGCCAGAGAGAAAGTTCGGGTTACCCTCAAAGGGAAGCCCATCAGACTAACAGTGGATCTCTCGGCAGAAACCCTACAAGCCAGAAGAGAGTGGGGGCCAATATTCAACATTCTTAAAGAAAAGAATTTTCAACCCAGAATTTCATATCCAGCCAAACTAAGCTTCATAAGTGAAGGAGAAATAAAATACTTTACAGACAAGCAAATGCTGAGAGTTTTTGTCACCACCAGGCCTGCCCTAAAAGAGCTCCTGAAGGAAGCGCTAAACATGGAAAGGAACAACCGGTACCAGCCGCTGCAAAATCATGCCAAAATGTAAAGACCATCAAGACTAGGAAGAAACTGCATCAACTAACGAGCAAAATAACCAGCTAACATCATAATGACAGGATCAAATTCACACATAACACTATTAATTTTAAATGTAAATGGACTAAATGCTCCAATTAAAAGACACAGACTGGCAAATTGGATAAAGAGTCAAGACCCATCAGTGTGCTGTATTCAGGAAGCCCATCTCACGTGCAGAGACACACATACGCTCAAAATAAAGGGATGGAGGAAGATCTACCAAGCAAATGGACAACAAAAAAAGGCAGGGGTTGCAATCCTAGTCTCTGATAAAACAGAATTTAAACCAACAAAGATCAAAAGAGACAAAGAAGGCCATTACATAATGGTAAAGGGATCAATTCAACAAGAAGAGCTAACTATCCTAAATATATATGCACCCAATACAGGAGCACGAAGATTCATAAAGCAAGTCCTGAGTGACCTACAAATATACTTAGACTCCCACACATTAATAATGGGAGACTTTAACACCCCACTGTCAACATTAGACAGATCAACAAGACAGAAAGTCAACAAGGATACCCAGGAATTGAACTCAGCTCTGCACCAAGCGGACCTAATAGACATCTACAGAACTCTCCACCCCAAATCAACAGAATATACATTTTTTTCAGCACCACACCACACCTATTCCAAAATTGACCACTTACTTGGAAGTAAAGCTCTCCTCAGCAAATGTAAAAGAACAGAAATTATAACAAACTATCTCTCAGACCACAGTGCAATCAGACTAGAACTCAGGATAAAGAATCTCACTCAAAACCGCTCAACTACATGGAAACTGAACAACCTGCTCCTGAATGACTACTGGGTACATAACAAAATGAAGGCAGAAATAAAGATGTTCTTTGAAACCAACGAGAACAAAGACACAACATACCAGAATCTCTGGGACGCATTCAAAGCAGTGTGTAGAGGGAAATTTATAGCACTAAATGCCCACAAGAGAAAGCAGGAAAGATCCAAAATTGACATCACAATTAAAAGAACTAGAAAAGCAAGAGCAAACACATTCAAAAGCGAGCAGAAGGCAAGAAATAACTAAAATCAGAGCAGAACTGAAGGAAATAGAGACACAAAAAACCCTTCAAAAAGTTAATGAATCCAGGAGCTGTTTTTTTGAAAGGATCAACAAAATTGATAGACCACTAGCAAGACTAATAAAGACAAAAAGAGAGAAGAATCAAATAGATGCAATAAAAAATGATAAAGGGGATATCACCACCAATCCCACAGAAATACAAACTACCATCAGAGAATACTACAAACACCTCTACGCAAATAAACTAGAAAATCTAGAAGAAATGGTTAAATTCCTCGACACATACACTCTCCCAAGACTAAACAAGGAAGAAGTTGAATCTCTGAATAGACCAATAACAGGAGCTGAAATTGTGGCAATAATCAATAGCTTACCAACAAAAAAGAGTCCAGGACCAGATGGATTCACAGCCGAATTCTACCAGAGGTACAAGGAGGAACTGGTACAATTCCTTCTGAAACTATTCCAATCAATAGAAAAAGAGGGAATCCTCCCTAACTCATTTTATGAGGCCAGCATCATTCTGATACCAAAGCCGGGCAGAGACACAACCAAAAAAGAGAATTTTAGACCAATATCCTTGATGAACATTGATGCAAAAATCCTCAATAAAATACTGGCAAACTGAATCCAGCAGCACATCCAAAAGCTTATCCACCATGATCAAGTGGGCTTCATCCCTGGGATGCAAGGCTGGTTCAATATACGCAAATCAATACATGTAATCCAGCATATAAACAGAGCCAAAGACAAAAACCACATGATTATCTCAATAGATGCAGAAAAGGCCTTTGACAAAATTCAACAACCCTTCATGCTAAAAAATCTCAATAAATTAGCTATTGATGGGACATATTTCAAAATAACAAGAGCTATCTATGACAAACCCACAGCCAATATCATACTGAATGGGCAAAAACTGGAAGCATTCCCTTTGAAAACTGGCACAAGACAGGGATGCCCTCTCTCACCACTCCTATTCAACGTAGTGTTGGAAGTGCTGGCCAGGGCAATTAGGCGGGAGAAGGAAGTAAAGGGTATTCAATTAGGAAAAGAGGAAGTCAAATTGTCCCTGTTTGCAGACGACATGATTGTATATCTAGAAAACCCCATTGTCTCAGCCCAAAATCTCCTTAAGCTGATAAGCAACTTCAGCAAAGTCTCAGGATACAAAATCAATGTACAAAAATCACAAGCATTCCTATACACCAACAACAGACAAACAGAGAGCCAAATCATGAGTGAACTCCCATTCACAATTGCTTCAAAGAGAATAAAATACCTAGGAATCCAACTTACAAGGGATGTGAAGGACCTCTTCAAGGAGAACTACAAACCACTGCTCAAGGAAATAAAAGAGGATACAAACAAATGGAAGAACATTCCATGCTCATGGGTAGGAAGAATCAATATCGTGAAAATGGCCATACTGCCCAAGGTAATTTACAGATTCAATGCCATCCCCATCAAGCTACCAATGACTTTCTTCACAGAATTGGAAAAAACTACTTTAAAGTTCATGTGGAACCAAAAAAGAGCCTGCATCGCCAAGTCAATCCTAAGCCAAAAGAACAAAGCTGGAGGCATCACACTACCTGACTTCAAACTATACTACAAGGCTACAGTAACCAAAACAGCATGGTACTGGTACCAAAACAGAGATATAGATCAATGGAACAGATCAGAGCCCTCAGAAATAACGCCGCATATCTACAACTATCTGATCTTTGACAAACCTGAGAAAAACAAGCAGTAGGGAAAGGATTCCCTATTTAATAAATGGTGCTGGGAAAACTGGCTAGCCATATGTAGAAAGCTGAAACTGGATCCCTTCCTTACACCTTATACAAAAATCAATTCAAGATGGATTAAAGACTTAAACGTTAGACCTAAAACCACAGAAACCCTAGAAGAAAACCTAGGCATTACCATTCAGGACATAGGCATGGGCAAGGACTTCATGTCTAAAACACCAAAAGCAATGGCAACAAAAGACAAAATTGACAAATGGGATCTAATTAAACTAAAGAGCTTCTGTACAGCAAAAGAAACTACCATCAGAGTGAACAGGCAACCTACAAAATGGGAGAAAATTTTCACAACCTACTCATCTGACAAAGGGCTGATATCCAGAATCTACAATGAACTCAAACAAATTTACAAGAAAAAAACAAACAACCCCATCAAAAAGTGGGCAAAGGACATGAATAGACACTTCTCAAAAGAAGGCATTTATGCAGCCAAAAAACACATGAAAAAATGCTCACCATCACTGGCCATCAGAGAAATGCAAATCAAAACCACAGTGAGATACCATCTCACACCAGTTAGAATGGCTATCATTAAAAATTCAGGAAACAACAGGTGCTGGAGAGGATGTGGAGAAATAGGAACACTTTTACACTGTTGGAGGGACTGTAAACTAGTACTGTAAACTAGTTCAACCATTGTGGAAGTCAGTGTGGCGATTCCTCAGGGATCTAGAACTAGAAATACCATTTGACCCAGCCATCCCATTACTGGGTATATACCCAAAGGACTATAAATCATGCTGCTATAAAGACACATGCACACGTATGTTTATTGCGGCATTATTCACAATAGCAAAGACTTGGAACCAACCCAAATGTCCAACAATGATAGACTGGATTAAGAAAATGTGGCACATATACACCATGGAATACTATGCAGCCATAAAAAGTGATCAGTTCATGTCCTTTGTAGGGACATGGATGAAATTGGAAATCATCATTCTCAGTAAACTATGGCAAGAACAAAAAACCAAACACCGCATATTCTCACTCATAGGTGGGAATTGAACAATGAGATCACATGGACACAGGAAGGGGAACATCACACTCTGGGGACTGTTGTGGGGTGGGTGGGGGGGGGGAGGGATAGCATTGGGAGATATACCTAATGCTAGATGACAAGTTAGTGGGTGCAGCACACCAGCATGGCACATGTATACATATGTAACTAACCTGCGCAATGTGCACATGTACCCTAAAACTTATAGTATAATAAAAAAAAATTTAAAAAAAAAGAAACTAGAAAAAGACGAACAAACTAAGCTCAAACCTAGCAAAAGGAAGAAAATAAAAAAGATTAGATCGGAGATAATTAAAATAGATAATAGAAAAAAAATAGAGAAAACCAATGAAACCAAAAGTTGATTATTTGAAAAGATATAAAAAGATAGACTAAGAAAAAGAGAGAAGGATCAAATTACTAAAACCAGAAATGAAAGTGTAAATGTTAATACCAACTCTACAAAAGTAAAAAGGATTTATAAGAAAGTACTATAAACAACTGTACATCAGGAAATTGGATAACCTAGATGAAATGGACCAATTCCTGGCAACACAAAACCTACTAAGACTAAATTATGAAGAAATAAAACATATAAATAGACCTGTAACTACTAAGGAAATTGAATTAGTAATCAAAAATCTCCTGACAAAGAAAAACCCTGAACCTGATGTTTACAGTAGTGAATTCTACCAAACATTTTTTAAAAAACTAATACCAGCTCTTCTCAAACTTGTCCAAAAAATTTTCCCCCTCAATCAACAACTAGAATTTCCCCCAAAATCAAGGATGGGGAAGTTCTCACAAGGGCATGCCTCAGATCACCCCAAAATTTGGCCAGTTGGAATTCTAAAGAAAGAAGCATTAAATGCCAGGCTGATAAATTCAAAGCATTTATTAGGGGAACTTATGTACAGAGAGCTGCAGCAATCTTCACTGCAGACAGTGAGAGGAAAGGGGTATTCTACTTGAGTATATGTCCAAAGCATGGAGATCAGGATATGGAGTTTATATGAGGGTTTAAGGAATTTGGCTCAGGGTCAAGACTAGCTTCTTTCAGTGTTTTTGGCAACATCCTAGATACTTCTATTAGTGCCTAGGAATACTCTAGGCTTCTGGTTGTATTCAAGCCTGCTGGAGAAAACCTGAAGCTGTGTGGATCACAAAGTGGTCCAGGTTCCCTGTCATTTGCAATCAGGACACAAAAAGGAAGTGGGAAGGAAGAAGAATTGGGGGATTCCACAAAACTGAAGAGGAAGGAACACTTCCTAACTAATTTCATGAGGCCAGCATTACTTTGATACCAAAGTCAGACCAAGAGACTACAACACTGTAGACTAATATCCCTTATGAACACTGATGCAAAACTTCTCAACAAAATATGTTCAAACTGAATTCAGCAGCATGTTAAAAGGATTATATGTCATGCCAAGTGGGATTTATTCCTGGGATGCAAGGATGGTTCAACATACTAAAATCAATCAATATACTACATCACATTAACAAAATGAAGAAAAAATGATCATTTCAATTGATACAGAAAAAGAATTTGACAAAATTCAACAGCATTTCATGATAAAAATAATAAACTAGGAATAGAAGAAAATTAATAAACATAATAAAAACTATGTATGAAACCTAATGAAAGCTATGTATGAAAACTCCACAAAAAACATCATACTCAATGGTGAAAAAATGAAAGATTTTCCTCTAAGATCTGCAACAAGGCAAAGATGTTCAACTTCACCACTTCTATCCAACATAGTACTGAAAGTTCCAGCCAGAGCAATTAGGTAAGAAAATAAAATAAAAGACATACAAATGGAAAAATTAAGAAGTGAGATTATCTCTGCCCACAGATGGTACTACAGGACTTTTTAGAGCACATGGAAAAAAAATGAAATTAAAAGATAAAAATAAGGAATATAAACTGTATTTCTCAACATAAACTCCACCAAATAAAAGTCACTTTTGTAAATGATAATAATAGCCATTTAGTCCATCCTTATATCACTGAGGGCCCAAGGAATTTAACCATGTAAATGCCTTCATTTTTCAACTATTAACTAGAGAAAAGTAAAGGCCTTTTAAAGATTTATTAATAATAAGACATAAAAAGAAGTCAGAAGGGGCCAAATCAGGACTGTCAGGTGGATGCCTCATGATTTCCTATCAAAACTCTCACAAAATTGTCCTTGTTTGATAAGAAGAATGAGTAGAAGCATTGTTGTGATGATGAAGGACTCTCTGATAAAGATTTCCTGGGTGTTTCTCTGCTTAATCTTTGGCTAACCTTATCCAAAAAAACTCTCAAAATAAGCAGATGTTATTGTTCTTTGACCCTCCAGAAAGTCAACAAGCAAAATTCCTTAAACAGTCCCAAAAAACATTGTCATGGCCCTCGCTCTTGACTGACCTGCTTTTGCCTTAACTGGATCACTTCCATTTCTTGAAAGTCATTGTTTTGATTGTGCTATGTCTTCAGGATCATACTGGGAAAGTCATGTTTCACCTCCTGTTATAATTATTTGAAGGAATCCTTCAAGACCTTGATCCCACACATTTTAAATTTCCATTGAAAGCTCTGCTTTTGTCTGCAGCTGATCTGAGTGCAACAGTTTTGGTACCCATTAAGTGGAAAGTTGCTCACCTATAATTTTGGGGGTCAGAATTGTGTAAGCTGAACCAACTGAGATTTCCATGGAGTTGGCTATTGCTGTATCCTCTTCAATTAGGGCAAAGGCAAGATGAATTGTTTTTCTCATAAATTGGTGTGGATGGTCTGCCGCTGAAGGCTTCTTCTTGAACATCATTTTGTCTCTTCTTCAAACTAGTTGTTCATTTGTAAATTGCTAATTTCCTTGGGACACCGTTCCTGTAAACTTTTCTAAAGCATCAGTGATTTCACCATTCTTCCAACCAAGTTTCACCATAAATTTGACATTTATTCTTGCTTCAATTTCAGCAGCATTCATGTTGCTCTGATAGGAGCTTTTTACAAATTTATCTTATCCCCTTAGCACCTCAGACTAGAGCCTGTTCAGGCACATTATAACAAGGTAGTTTATTTTGGTGGAAAAGTATTTTGAAAACCATGCGTAGTTTTTCCATCATGTGCATTTTCTATGAACTTTTTGAAGACACATCATGTGATCTTATATTTACAAAACCATAAAAATTCCACACCCCCAAAAATGCTGTCAGAATAAATGAATACAGAAAAGAAGAATACGAGGTCAATACATGAAAATCAGTTGCATTTCTATATACTAACAAGAAATAATCTGAAAAGAAAATTATTTTTTAAATTCCATTTACAATAGCTTCAAAAAGAGTAAAATACTTGGGAATTAATTTAACCAATGAAGTGAAAGACTTTTACAATAAAAACTACAAAATATTGCTTAAAAAATTAGAGAAGACATAAATAAATGGAAATACATGCCATGTTCATGGGGCAGAGGACAATATTGTTAAGCTATCAATACTACCCAAGCAATCTACAGATTCAATGTAATCCCTATCAAAATTTCACTGATATTTTTGCAGAATTAGAAAACTCTTTTCTAAAATTCATGTGGAATCTCAGAGGGCCTTGAATAGCCAAAACAATCTTCTAAAAGAAGAACAAAGCTTGAGGACTCACGCTCATGTCCTGGTTTCAAAACTTACTACAAAACTATAGTAATCTAAACAGTGTGGTACTGGCATAAAAACAAACATATAAATGAATAGAATAGAATAAAATAGAGAGCCCAGAAATAAACTCTTATTATATATGAGTCAAATGCTATATATATGAGACCCTATAAATATAAAGGTGACAAGATCATTCAATAGAGGGAAGACAGTTTTTTCACAAATAGTGCTTATAAAACTGGATATCCACATGCAAAAAATGAAGTTGGATCTCTCCTAACACTGTATTTACTTGTGGTTAGTTAGCCAGATTAACTTAAAATAGATCAAATACCTAAATGTAAGGCCTAAAGCTAGAAAATTCTTAGAAGAAAACTGAGCAAAAGCTTTATAACACTGGATTTGACAGCAATTTCTTGGATATGACACCAAAGTCACAGACAACAAAAACAACAATGGACAAACTTAACTTCATTGAAATTTAAAATTTTTGTGCATCAAAAGACAATATCAACAGAGTAAAAAAGAAAACCACAAAATGGGAGAAAATAGTTGCAAATCATATATATGATAAGGGGCTAATATCCAGAGTATATAGAGACATCCTTAAACTCAACAACAACAAAAAACCCTGATTCAAAAATGGACAAAGGACTTGAAGAGGCATTTCTCAAAAAAAAAAAAAGACATGAAATGGTCAATAAGCACATGAAAAGATACTCAACATCACTCATCATTAGAGAAATGCAAATGAAAACTACAATGAATTACCAATTCATACTCATTAGGAAGTCTATTATCAAAAAGAAAAAAAAAACAATAATTGGCAAGGTCTTAGAAAAAGCGTAACCCTCATGCACCATTGAAAGGAACATAAAATGTTACAGATGCTATGGGAAACAGTGTGGCAGTTCCTCAAAAAATTAAAAATAGAATTACTATGTGATCCAGAAATTCGTCTTCTGGGTATATACTGAAAAGAACTGAAAACAAGGTCTTGAAGAGATATTTGTACACCTATGTTAGTAGCAGTGTTATTCACTATAGCTAACATGTGGAAGCAGCCCAACTGTTCATGGACAGATGAATGAGTAAGCAAACTGTGATCTATAAGTAAAATGGAATATTATTCAGCCCTGTAATGAAATTCTGACTTATGCTACAGCCTAGATGAACCTCGAGGACATTACGATAAGTGAAATAAGCCAGTCACAAAAAGAAATATACTTTATGATTCCACTTATATGAGGTCCTTAGAATAATGAGTTATAGAGACAGAAAATAGAATGGTAGTTTCCAGGGTCTTGGAGATGAGGGAAAAGGGAAGTATTGTTTAATGGGTATGGAGTTTCAATTTTACAAGATGAAAAGACTTATGAAGATGGATAGTGGTGATGGTTATATAACATTTTGAATGTATTTTGTACCACTGAACTGCATATTTAAAAATAGTTAAGATGGTGAATTTTATGTGTATTTTACTACAATTTAAGAAAATGAAAGAAGGTATAGGAAGAGCAAAAGATGAAGGAGAAGGAGGAGGAGGAGGAAGAGGTGGGGAAGAGGAGGGGGGGAGGAGGAGGAGCGGGAGGAGGAGGAGGAGGAACAAAACATATGCAGCCCACAAAGCCTAAAATATTTACCATCTAGCCCTTTATGGAGAAAGTGCCCTCATCCTCAAGCCAACCAAAGCATCCAAATGGATGTGGAAAGTAACCATTCTCACCTCTTCATGCACATTAATAGCCTGGCACTTAGCAGGCACTCAATTAATATTAGCCTTTATCAGCAACCTCCTGCTAAATTCTTTTTATTCTAAGATTATGTGGTACAATATATAAAATTAATGAGAAATATGCAAATTTTATTTAAAATAATACTGCGTTATGCCTGTAATTCTTTAAACCCATGAAGAGGGTATGTTGTGCTGTATAATGGTTAACAGCACTAGTTCTAGAACTAGATTGCATGGGACCCAGTCCTAGCCTACCACTCACTAACTGAGAGACTGTGGACAAGTTATTTGACCTCCCTTTGTCTCATTTTCCTCTTCTAAACTGGAAGTAATATTAAGAGTACCTATCTCATTGGGCTGACATTATGGTTAAGTGTAAAATGCTTCCAACAGTGCCTGACACATGGCAAAACAAATTAATAAAGGTTATCTGTATCATATCTCTGCTTTTCAATTATTTAAATTGTTTAATATCAATAACTGTACAATAATACAATCATTATTGTAATATGGAGATGTATAATTGTTCAGCAAATGTTCACATATGTAGGGAATAAAAAACAAATTGTTTCCAACTACAAACTTTCTTTTACTGATCACTGATATTCCCACTTGGTGCTTTTAGCACATTGTTCTTGGGTGGTGATGGTTTGAAGTTGGTAAAAAACATTGTTTGTTGCCTACAAGTTCTCAAATTGTAGGCACTGGGAAAAGAACAAGAAAGAAGACAGAAAGGTACCTGAAGAAATTGCTGTTCTGATTTCTCCATTGTTGGTTTAAATGCTAATCTGCCACTTCTGGGAACAAGAAATATCCCCAAGAGTATTCTTTTTGACCTTTCTTAACTTCCTCTCCTTTCTTTCCTTCTGACTTTATTTTTAGATGAATATCAAACAGGAAATCCACTCCACTAAGAAATGGTGAATTTTCTAGCTAGAGATCAGAGGGTGGAGCCCACTGGGAAATCAGTAATGGAGATCAGACCAAAGAGCTGGGCCAAGGAAGGATGGATAGATACTTGTAAAACAAGAGGCCATTTTTGTGTCTTTTTTTCCCCTACTAGAGATGAAACTAGCAGCTTCCATTTATGCCCAAGGCACAAGTTTTTAAAAACAGATCAGTTGATTTAAGGCAAAATTCAAATCAAAACACTGGCAAGACCTACAGAACAGATATAGCCACAGAACTGTTCTAATGCCCCAACACCGGAAGGATGAGGGTGTGTAGGGTACTGAAAGACATAACAATGATTTGCCACTTACTGCTAAGTGTTGCCAAATGTGCTTTAAGTATCTCATGTACTGGAAATACACTGCAAATTACATTCCTTATGTTGTGAATAGGAACAGAAGCTTTTTCTTTCTTTCCTGTTTATATTATCGATCACTGCACATCCAAATCCACCTCTTCCGTCTTGTAAGAAATTGATATATAGGATGTATTTTGTAAAACTTTGAATCTTTTGGATTTGAAGCTGTATGAAGTTACACAGAGTGATCTTCCTGGTGAGCCTCTAAGCCTGAATGTAATTTCAACTTCTTAAGCCAGGAAATAGCAAATCTTGTACAACTACTAACATTTTTGCAAATTATTTTAAGAGTCTCGAAGATAGCATTATATATTAAGTTGATTTTGGATCAAATAATCAACTGGAAACTTAATTCTACAGGTCAGTACTACTAAGTCTCTAGCACTGGTTTCTGTAGTGTAGGAGATCTGGAAACGGACTTCTAAATTAAAAGATCGACATCTTTATTGAAGCTTGCACATAACAAGGTACAAAACTATTATACACATTACCAAACTGGCAAACTCACATAACAAGTGTAAAAACGGGCCTGCTGATCATAAAATTCCTTTTCCCAGAAATAATTAACAAATTGTTACCACTAGTAAAGCTTTCTTAAAGTTTTAATCTATCACAAGTCATCAAAAATTAAGGTGTGTTTTTAGCCAAGTAATATGTTTAGAGTAACAAAATGAAATAGTACAAAAGATTAAAAATATCTGTATATGAGTCCCTTCCATTCCAGACAGTGTCATAGAGAAAGCCATTACTAATAGTTTATTGTATCCTGCTCAAAATCTTTTATACAATACAGGAAAATATATCTTTTCTTTTTAATGCAAATGAAAGTTTTCTGCACTTTGCTGTTGCAGCCTTGACCTCCCAGGCTCAGGTGATCTTCTCCCACCCCAGCCTTCCAAGTAGCTGGGACTATAGAGACATGCCACCATACCCAGCTAACTTTTTTATTTTTTGTAGAAACATGGTCTTCCCATGTTGCCCAGCCTGGTCTTGAACTCCTGGGCTCAAGAGATCCTCCTGCCTCAGCTTCCCAAAGTACCAGGATTACAGGCATGAGCCACCACACCTGGCTGCTTTTTTACTTAACATTTTTGAATAAATTTCCATCTGTTCCTAGTGGCCATACAATCTTTTCAACGCAATGATGAAATCCTAAAATCTGTATACCATAACACAGGCACAAAGTGTTACTGTCATTCAGCCACGTTTCTCAGTGCTTCTTCTACCTATGTTAATATTTGTTTGGTAATAGAATGGTCAATCAGATATGTATGAGAAACACTCAGTTAAAAGGTAAACAGCCTTCTTCCTTGCCTGACATTCCAGATTCCTGAATGTGCTGACTTTAACCATGACTCATTAAAGGGCTTATGTAGCATATTATATTTCACACAATAATTTAACCAAGGAGTTTTCTTGCTGAGGAGCATCTTTTGAGATTGGTATGCCAAAGAACACACTTTGGAGACTGCTGAGTTACAGCATCTCACAACCCTGTCAGATAGGTTGTATTATGCTCATTTACAAATTAAGGATGCTGAGACTTAGAAAGCTTAAGTGACTTTCCTGAAGTTTCCAGCTGGTGACAGAATTGGCATCAATACACCAAATCTATCCTCTTCTCCCCATTCCACACACAACTCGTCATCCTTTTAGCATCACTAGGCGCTAGTGATATTAAAAAAGGTTCCTTGTGTTTAACAGAAGAGGCTGAGCTTACAAACATTTTGACAGTATAGTCTGGATATCAACAGGGCCAAAAACATACTACATATAAAATGTGCAACAGGATTTCACAGAAGCAAGAAAAGATTGTGGACATAGGAGTCCAGGACAGGGTGATCTATTTGACTTAGAGCATGTTACCTGTGCCCCCTTTGCACTTAGTTTCTTTGGCACCTTTCTGGTAGCATTCCTATGCAGATAAAATGAAAAGGCATTTTCACAAAGCCTGACCTCTCAATCAATGTTGATTCTTGTTACTGTCTCCAAAATTAGTTTCTAATTTCCCTCCACCCCAACTATTACATTATTTGGAAATTTCACCATTCTGCAGAAATGTGTATATTCTTTCTCCATGATTCACACAAACCTCTAGCTTCCTGGAATTCAAAAATGATAAATCTTTAAAAAATATTTTTCTAAAATAAAAATACTTTTGGATATTTGTAAATCAAAAAGTATAAATATTTTTAGAATAACTACAAACCTTGTAAATTTTGCTCATAGGTTAGAAAATGGAAATCATAAGTTAAAGCCTGTCTTACAAACAAATACCACAGGCTTCAAATAATGAGGATCGGAGAAACTTACAGGCATGAGGTCAGGAAGGGGCACGGAGGAAGTACAAGGGAGATACTAACTTCACCCCTCTCCTACTGAGTCGAGATGGAAAGTGAACAGTGGATGTGAGGAAATAGGGAGGTGTTTATAGGAAAAGGCAACAGAATATAGGGTATTATTATTCCCCCACAACTTCCCTATCAGTGTCAGAATTCACCTGTAGTTTTTGCTCTTGAATCATATCCACAGTCCCAGACCTACAGAATAACAAAATCCTGAGATGCTTACTTTAACTTGCATCCTAAATTGTTAGCAACTTGACTTACCTCTTGATATTTCCTGAATTTCTGACAATGTTCCCTCTTCCTTGCCATAGTTATCTATGACCTCTTTGCTTTGGCAGAGAAAATGCCATTTCTTGAACTATTGGGCCTCTTGCCCTAGTAAGATATAATGTTTCCCTTTAGTAAATTTCAATAATAGCATGTTGTAATGTATCATAAGCAGATGATATACATTACTGCATACTTCCTAGTTCCTTGCTTGTTTTATACAAGACATCTCCCATTACTGTCATTCCTGCCTTATCTAGGCATCTTAAATGAAGAAACCAAATTGCAGTTCACACAAGTTTTTAGTTACCAAATTAATTTTCTGACCCTGATATTGTAGCCAAATTTTTATGATGAGATAGTTGAAAAAAGATTTTTAAAGATCCATTTCTTATTTTGGTAATTGCACCGAACACTTATGCTCCAGTTCACATTCTATCAGCTTCACTTCTTATGCTAACTACTGTGGTAGCAACAGTTCTACGCAGGCTTCACCCACTTTCACATGAATGCAATCTGACAGGCCTTCACTCTGAACCCCTTAGACAATGAGGGAAGGAAGCCAAGGCTTCCTCTCTTCTTCCCCCTATCAGTTGGTTCTGAGATATCTTATATAGTTTCTCAGAAGGCCCCATGGGATTGACAAACCTGTTCCTCTTTGGTGTGACTTGATAACTCACTCTTACCTTGGCTTTTCCTTCTTCCTGTTTCACTCCCTTGTCCTCATCTTCTGCTCTCTAAAATTACATTCCCAAATAAACAATTCTCAATAGGTCTTTGCCTTAGGCTCTGTTTTTGAGGGCAATCTGGTGTATTGATTAGGGTCCAGCAGGGAAACAGAAACCACACCAGTAATTTAAACGAGAAAATTTAATATAAAGAATTATTAACTTGTAGCAGAGGATTAACTACAAAGGGGTAAGAAAAGTTTAAAGAACATGGCAAAAGCAGATAATGAATCAGCTACAACATCCAGGCTAAGACAAGGTATCCAAAGAGGGAATCATCTTGAAAGAGAGCTGTCCCCAAGGCTTAGAGTCAGACCTCACCAGATGGCTGAGGAGCTAGCTGGAAGCAGCCTGTTGGGGTGCCCAAAAAACTCACTAGGCAGCTGCTCTCTGAGGCAACAATAAGATTCTCTGGGAAGCTGCCCATTGAGGTTCTAACAAGACTCGCTGGGAAACCACTTGCTAAGGTGTTGCTGAAACTCACTGAGAAGCTGCTGGAGTACACTGATGAGACTCTCTGGGAGTCTCATCAGATCAACAGTGCTATGGGCAACACTGACCCAGAAGCCACCCTTTGGGGTACACTGCCCCACTGAAGTGCTGGCAAAACAAGCAGAATAGTGAGCATCCCTGGGTACTGGCTCCCATACACCGCAGGAACAAGAAGGAAAAAACACGCTGAAAGGACTGAGGCAAACTCCTTTCTCCTACAGTGTCCTTCCACTCCTCTTACCAACAAAGCTTAACTTTGTGCCAGGTAGCTAAGAAGAAATGTTTACTGGTTCCAGCTGCGGCAGTACAAAGCAGGGCAAGGAAGGATGGACTGGGCTTAGACAGCATTCCACTGACTGTGGCCAAAACGTTATTTCCCCCAACCAATTACCAAAGCTAGTAGTAGTCAGCACAGGAAAACTCAGCCATGGGCAGCAGTTGCCTCCCTCCAGCATCTCTCAAACCATGTTACTCTCACCTGCTCTTCTCTCCTTTTATCCTCCCTGGCTTCCCAACTCACAGCACCTACCTGAGCCTTCCTTGCTTCCATGATGGACATTTTCTCATACATCAGCTCCTCATATCCACGACTGTGTGTAAGAAATGCTCTTGTGGCTCGGCACTGTCCCAAAAGACCAACACAAGCCAGGCCAGCCAACTAGCTTCTCCTCCAAGGAGAGGCATTCAACACCTCCCTTCATCTCATGCGTTCATTCAGGAATAGCTTTTGCACAGAAGGCACTAACCAGATCCTTTGAGTCCAAAGTGAGCAGGTGATCTCATGATGTCAGGTTTGTTTGTTTTTTTTTTCCAGACAGACAGACAAATTAGTGCCCAAATTCTGGCTCTTCCGTTTGTTAATTGTCTGGTCATAATCAAATATTTAGACTTTTCCACATCACTCTCTTCTGTAAAATGTAGATAAGGTTTGCTTTATAAGGTTATTTTGAGAATAAGAAAAGAAACAAGAAGCATTCATTCATCCAATAAATATTAGTATTTGTTGAGTACCTACTGTGTGTCAGAAATTTTCCTAAACATTAAGAAAAAAGGTAATGTAAATAACCATCTGGTTCGTGGTAGAAGCTTACTATAAAAAGATTTCCACTCCTGTCCTTCTTTTTATGACTGTGAACATTGTCTATTGTAAATGAACAACAAATTTAGTTATCATTATTTCTCTTTTTTGTGTTTCTTTGTTTTATAGAAAGCATAAGAGAAAAAATCTTTATAGATTGCATTTATACACTGAAATTATTAGGGCTTATTCCTATGAGAAAACTCAGGTGGCTTTTTTTTAAATAAGTATGTCTCAAATATTCATTATTGATCTGAAAAACACATAAGAGAAAAATATCTCAGATGTGCTACTGGGTGTGATCAAGATAGCTGTCAGTGAGTAAATATACTCTCTACTGCATCCATTTTAAATAATAGTATACATGGCAAATACCTTTGACATTCTTAGTATGTCAAAGATTTTTGTAGGCATGAAACTAACATTTTACATATGCGGATGGAAAGGTTAAATCATTTTCCCAGTCACTAATCCATCAGTGACATAATTACCAACCAAACCTTAGGCTTCTGGTTCCCTGGTCCTCCTGCCTCCTTTTCTCCTTCAAAAAACATTCACCCACAATGATATCTACTTGCCTTTTACTCTAATTTTAAGAAAGTACACTGGAAAAAAAAGTATTACTAACATTTTCCTTCAAATCAAATTAATCAGAAAATAAAATTAAAGCACATTTATTTAGCAGAAAGCTACTCTTTCCATTAATGAGAATTTTATTAAATATAATAAAACATTTCAGGCAATTTCTTTCTTCCTGGTTTTTTTTTTCCTCTTCCTTTTTCAGATTTATTGAAAAGCATTTTTATTAGTGCAATAATAGGCTCCGGGACATGCAATTATATTGAGATGCTGACACTTTCCTGTTAGTTGCAGCCTTTGGCCTGAGGCCAAACACTGAACCCAAGCATATGAGTTTCTCTGCAAGCAGCCCTGGCATGGCACTCGCATGCATTTGTCCTTACAGCAACCTCCAGTTTTCAACCACTACAGAGAGAATTAACTAATTTTTCCCTCCTATTACAACTGATCCAAAGAGATACTTCCATCTCTTTTTAGAGAAACCCAAAAGTTCCTTATGAAATTTTTGTAGAATGCAGAGTTAGAGACAGATTAGAAACTTTCAACTTCTGTTTCATATGGGGAAATACCATAAAGGGTTTCATTACTTTATGAGGCATTTACACACATGAAATGCAAATGCTTGTGCCTTTGTCATGAGTTTTCTTTATAGCTTTCACTCCTGTATATTTTTTAATTGTAAATCCTCCCCTTTCCAAGCTCTGAGCCAAAGCATTTCAGAATAAAACTGTAGATATCAACTATAAATAAAATACAGATTCAAACCTCTGCAACTTTTTAAAATTTGTAAGGCAGGAATAAACCATCCTTTAAAAAGGAAAAAAGAAGCCACCAGAAAATGCTTCTGAATTCACTCCCACTTTCTATGTAAAGGCACTGAGTTTCAATCTTTAAGGAGTTAAATCTCTTATCTGGATTCAGTGCCATGGAACTTCCCCACATATCCCAGTCTCTTTCATAAAGCATTGTATACGTTATTAGAATACCCATGTAAAACCTTAAAAACTTTGTTTTTAAGTTACATACACACCATACATACACACACACACACATACACACACACACAACTAAACTACGCCCTCTAAAAATGCTTCCGGCCTGACTGTGAACAAAAACAAAGGGGTCTCTGCTACCCCTAGCTCTGCCCTGTGACTGTTCCAGCAAAGCTTGGTAGTGTTTTAGGCATCACTTCCTCAGCAGGGAAGTGGAGTTTAGAGATATTAATCCTTGTGAACTGAATTTGGTGTGAGAAACTCCTGGGGGAAATCCCAAACACTTGTGCTGCCTTTGAACTACAGTCCCCCAACACTGACTATATCTCCCCTTCCTTTCCTGCCCCCTAGGATCATCCTTGCTTTCCTGGGCCCATTTCAGTCTTATTGGTTTGGAATCTGGACTGCAGCGTTTTCTTTTCCAAGTCCTGGCTGGGCTCCTTGGAAGCAGAGTGCCCCCACCCAGCCATAAAGATTATTGTGAGCACTTTGAAACTGATGCCAAACCAAATCAAGCCCAGTGGACACAGTCCCTTGCACACTGACTGGATTCCTGCACGCCCTCCTTTGGGTTGGCCCTACAGCCTGGTGCCAGGCCAATGAAAGCTCAGTCCTGCCCACACCCCTCCCTGCCACACTCCAGAGATCCCACAGTGCCTCTGAGCTTGTCTCAGGGGTGCGAAAGTCAGAGATGATCAGTTTTCCATTCTTAGAAATGCATAAAGCAACAAAAGTCACTAGGAATCTCTGAGGCTCAGAGAAGAAGTGAGGTTAGGAAAAACTGAAGCTGTAGCCAGAATAGCCTTTTCAAAAGAGAAGGGGAATTATAGTGAACTGGCTGGTGATACTTTATTGACCTCTAAATTAACTTCATCTTAGCATCGTAAAGACCTAGCATGGAGAACGAAAACTGCTTGGGTGACAGGAATAGCTAAGTGCTTGGTTAACGGGTAAACAAGTGAGGGAGGCTACAGGTCCACGTCTCTCCCACATACAGAGTCTGAGGAGTCAAATTCCCACACTGAGGGAGCAAAAGAGTACAATCTACACTCTTTTATACCACACATATTTGTTGTCCTGGTCTTTCCGTGTAATCATAATACAATCAGAAATATGAAATACAGAAAAACACACTCATACAAATGCACATATACGTTTGCGTATATATGATATATGACTTACATATCCTCTCTTCTTCCTACCAATGTGTCACACTAGTTCACCTTTATTCTTCTTACACCAGTTTCCTAACCTCCTTACACACCAGTATTTTACCACTTCCTTTAAATATTCTACTCATGGGTAAGTATTAATCCCCATATAATTCTGCTCTTATAAGTCTCATTCAAGTCTATCTATTTTTTTTTATCAAATTCTCTCTCTTATTCAAAGTCCTGAAATGACATGGGCAAAAGCAAAACATAAGCAAGTACAACTAATAATTCTCTTCTAAATTACTATATAAATAAATATGTGGATAATAATTAACATTTATACCAATAACAGTATTCATACCAATAACAGTATTCATTTTGAAGCTAGAGTCAGAGAATCATTACAGCCACACCACTTGTGAATTAGTGTATTTGAAATGCTCTTTGGAATCTAGTTATATAAAATGATGCAGGGAATTGAATGTCTAGAATATATTGCTTCTGTTGCACCCTAATTTTTATGATGCTTGAGAAACATACAGTGGTCACATTTTATGTACAGGATTAATGAAAACCTTGCCTGATTCAACGCACACAATTCACAAATTACAAAGGATAGGAGTGTGACTCTTTATAGCTCAAATGTCACCTCTATTTGGAAATAAGGAAAATACAGTTGTTTTCAATACTTGGTCTACTTGACCTACCAGATTTGAATTGTGGAATTTTTGGCAGAAGTTTTTTTGTTGTTGTTATTGTTGTTTTAATTCAAGAGGAGCCTTTACTTCAAATTTTGAACATAAAGTGAGATTTTATTGATATTTTTAGCAGATGTTGGTTTTCCCTGTAATGCCAAAATGAGCAACTAGGACTCAAAGCTAAGGCAAAGGGGGTATTCAATACCTCCACATTTTAAAGTGACTCACTAACCACTGGGAACACACACAGGCTCCTTCAAGGCTTACTGATAGGATCAGCTGAAAGAACCCTACCAAGTTAGCTCCTGCCATCCAACCACTGCCAGTCTTCAGATGCCTGCCATGCTAGGACACTAAAATGAAAGTCAGAAAGCAGTGATGACTTACTGAAAACCAGTTAAGGGACACCTGCCCTTTCCCCTCATCCTTCCCACAAGGCCAGAGGATCTAGACCCAGCCAAAAGAGGAAAAGAAGACATTCAAGACACACGGTATGAGACAATTCTTTCCAACATTCTGGAGTGAGAAGAATGAAAAACAGACCCCACCCTCATCCTTATTTCTGGCCAACCCTGCTCTGGAAGAAGGGATGGAGATACAATTCACATCAGCCAATGAGTTGAAAATTTTAACTGAACTAAACTGAATTTGCCCAGAAAGTTATGGGATTTGCCTAGGATTGTCTAAGGACTCTGCAACTCAGATGGAAAGATTCTTAACAGTATGCTTGAAGGAAGGATTTTTAAATGTTAATAATACACTTGGTTGAAATTCCTCAATAAACCAGATACACTCTTTATAGATCCCAAGCATGAATTTACATAAATTGGATTTGTATCAAATTACTACTATGTACTTTACTTTTGAAAAAGCTGATGCTTTGGAACTCAAAGGGTGAGTGTGGCAGATGTCTTGAGAAGGGTTGTTTATGAATCTATCCCAGATGGGTACAGAGGAATCTGTAGCCATGCCAGGTGATAACCTAGGCTCAGCCTATATCCAGCAAAGTCGAGCTGCTCTGGTCTCAGCCAAATAAGTACAAATTTTCAAAATGTGATTAGCTAGTAAAATGAAGGGCTTATTTAGTATTCTTGTTCTACTGTGCTTACCAATAGTCCAAAAACTGATAAAATCTGCCTTTGCTGCAACCAGGAGGCACTGAGCCAAATTTTCCTTTTGTAAATTCTAGGCTAGGCCAATGTCCCATTGATAATTCAACCATGCGTTGGTTTTAAAATGAACAGAGCCACAAATGCAATCACTGCCTGGCACAAACATGATTACTCTGGTTGTGTAAACCTACCTACCTAGATTTATATTTAATTTGCTCAGCTTTGAAAAGGATGATATCTAAGTTTAATGCTGATCAAAACAAATATTATATATTGATTGACTTTCTTGTGCCTGTGAATATTAAGAAGCCCATATTTTTTGAAACAGGAATCCTTTATTTTCTCTCATGTTAATAGCAGCCAGTTGTAGCATGAACAAAGCCCATCAAAGCCTTGCGTTGCCAGGAGCCACATTAAAACAATAGTGGGTCAAGTAGCAAATGGTACCAAATTACACAAAGTGTTTTTGTCCATGGCTTTTTTGTCTTGAGCAGAGACCAGCAACACATGTGTAGGGTAGTACAGGTTAGAATATGCCTACGTCCAAAGATGAAAACTGATATTTCTGTCTGTTTAAGGTATTTTCTTTTATAATTATATTAATTCATAAAATCAAAATGTGAACATCTGAATTTATGTCTATAAATATTTCTTTGTAGTTGGTAGTAAATTTGGTATACTACTGACAATTGATAAAAAGCAAAAACACAAATATAACTCAATATAACAAAAATATAAGCTATAAATCAATGACAGTTATATTGTGCTAGAAACACATGCTTTATGAAATGACTATGATTGCTTCTCTTTTTTTCTAACTCCATTCAAATAATTTAAGTTTTTCAATAAATTTATAATTTAGGTTAAAATAAGCTACTAACTTATTTGGTTTAGACTTCTTTTGTGTTTTTTAGAGGAAATGGAAGTTTGCTATAAGCAATCTAACTGTGCTTTTTCCCAAAAAAGAGACAAACCATTTTTCACCTACAGAATTCCAAGGAGATTCTACTTATAGTTAACTCATCCTATGTAACTGCTCTCATCGACTTTGTAGCAGATGACAATGTGACTGTCTCAGGATTCTAATGATTCATGATGTGAACCAAATTTAGCTACAGTTCAGCTTTCACTGTACGGATGCTTTATTTTGAATTCATCAAAAATAAAAGTAAAATCTGTTGGCTTGACCTGAGCAGACGCAAATAATTTATAATGTCCAAAAATATAATTTTGGTATTTGATATATATTTTATCTTCATTTAAGTTCAGGTTGTCCTAAAAATAAAATGGAAAACAATCTGCAAAAATTCTTCCTTATATCTGTTTTGATAAAGGCTGGAAATAACAAAACTCATGAGAAAATTCAATCTTGTAAGGTTTCTAGTTTGATATTTAAGGAAAAGTAAGGGCTCCACATTCTTTATTACTTAACTCAAAATTCCTTTCCACAATTCAAAAGCAAGGAAAATAGAAAAGGAGAAAAGGAAAGAAGGAAGGGAGGAAGGAAGGAAGGAAAGGAAGGAGGGAGGGAGGGACAGACGGAGAGAGGGAGGGACAGACGGAGAGAGGGAGAGAGGAAACTGAAATCTTATTTACAAAGCCTAGCACAAATGAGTAAGCTATTTAGTTAGTGGAGTACTTCTGTGAGTAAATAGATGTCGTAGAAAAAGTGGAAGGGGTATTATTCAAAATTGAAGTCATTATAAAGAAGTTTACTTTCTTTGTCAGCATGTATTTATAAAGTGCTCTCACTCCAATGTACCAGACACTGTTCTACACGCTGGTGAAACAGCAATGAACCACATAAATAAAATTTCTCTCATAACAGAGCTACAGCCTCATGGGAGAGGCAGGTAATTACCTATATAAACTAATACATATTTCAATGGCAAATAATAGTAAGAGCTAAGAGGAAAAATTAAGCAAGGTGTGAGGATAAAGAGAGGTGGGTAGGGAGACTTTGGGGAATAGATTGGTCAGGGGAGCATTCTCTCAAGAAGCAAGCTGTTTGCAGAGAACTGAGGGATAAGGAGAGAGCCAGGAAAGGATCTGAGAGAAGATCACAGCAGGAAAAGGAAAAGAGAAAACCATAGTAGAGATTTTCTACCAACACTCACATCTTCTGATCCTTGTGCCAGCCTTTTCCAGTCTTACTGATGCACTAAATTTTTATCAGCTTTTGATGCTAACTTCTTACTAAAGAATAACTGTGTTTTCAGTGCATTGAAATGTATATCACATAAATGTGCCCACTTTTTAATAATATTTATTTAAGAGCTGGAAACAAAGCCGTGTTTTGGAGACAAAGTAGTCCATACCTTCATTTTAAAGAAGTGGAAACTGAGTACCAGAAAGGCTACATGATCTCCCTACTGTCACGTAACTAATTAATATAAGTGTAAATCTTAGCCTTAGTCTGGCTGTCTTGCTTATTGTTATTTGTATATTTCCTCTACTTGACTCTGAGCTCCTTAGGAGTACAAACTACACATATATCCCCTATCAGAGTCTGGTAGAGTCTACCAGGATGACTTACATATCACTGGTCGTCAATAAATATTTCATAAATGAGCAATCACTCTTCTATGTCAGTCGTTTTCCAAAACTGTCCAGATTTCTTCAAATCCTATACAATCTCTTTGGTAAAATTGCTTTGTGTCTCCTAATGGAATTCTTCAATAAATTGGCAGAGATGTACTTCACTTACTATTCTATAAGTGCCGATAAGATTAAGCATGGTTCTTGCCAAATGGTTCATGATCCAAATTAGAAAGGAAGACAGAATATATAAACACAGAGGAATTCAGGAACATGTTCATTTCATGCCTGGATTGTCCTGCTGAATTATTGTATACGTAATTTCGATGGAAAGCATTTAAGAAAGAAACTTTACGTTTACCGTAGAGACCTGCACACATTGTTGGCATGAAATAAATAATCAACATTGATAACAGCCAAAATTCAGGCAATGTGTTCTCAATAAAATACATTTGTCTCTTGATTCGGCACATATGCTATTAATAAATGTTTTCTTACCTACAATATTAGGCTTAGTTTATTGTTACACTTCCAAAATACATAAACCCAAATCAGGGCTACAAAGGTTATTTTCATTTGTTCTATGTAACTTGTCAATAACAACAAGGTACAAAGTTATACAGCGTGGGAATATATAACTAGGGTAGTTGACAGTGCTTAAAGAAAGTAAATTCTTCCTAAATTTGTCCTTCCCTTGCATAAACAGTATTAAAAAAATAAAGTCTTGCAGAAAGACAGCAATAAAAAAAATGACCTGGTTTTCTATGCCCAAGTTCTCAGTACTTTCAGAGCATAAGTTAAATGTCTCAGCTTTTCCACCGTGCAATTCAGAGAATGTGGTGGGAACAGAACATGAAGGCAACTCAGCTGGAAAATATCTTAGATGAAATATTTTTGTCGAGCACTTTTCTCATGTGAATTTGCCTCTGATTTGGTATATACCAGTTGCCAGAGCATGGCATTCATTTTACCTCATGTCTTGAGGATTTTTTTTTTTAATCAACAAACTGTTACATAAACCAACAGGACAAAAATGAAAACAAAGCACCCGGGTTTGTGTTTAACAGGAGCTCTATGTCTTATGCGGTCAATAGACAAGAGTCAAGCTTTAATATCCTCAAAGTTCCTTTCATGTGATAAAATGGCAATAAGGAAAACTCCTTAAGGCTGTCTGCCTAGTTTGCCTTCTTCTCAAAATCAGATTCATTATTACCCACAAGGATTCATCTGTATTTTTTAAAGATACACATCAAGTTTGATCTCTTGTTATTCGAATTGAATAATAACAACCTAAATATTAAAAGCATGTTTTCCCCAGATGTGCTGATGTCTCAATAGGTTCTTTTTTATGTCAAGGGAAACAAGGTACGTACAACCGCTTATCAGATTTACAACTTATAAAACTGATGTCCTGGACAAAACAACAGCTTATCCAGTAGGTGTCATCTGATAAAAAAATATTTCACATACACACAAGAAAGGAGAACCATATGAATATGTGATAGCTAGAAAAACACTCTAAAAATTAACCCTTTAAATGACGAAACAAACTAAAGACATCTTGACCCCATTAAGAGTTGACGTTGCAGTACACTGGTTCTCAAGGGATCTCAAATTTCACTGTTCTGGAATAGGGCCAAGCCTCAAGATTTGTTTTTTAAGTTCCACAGGTGATTCTCATGTGCAGTTAAAGGTGGGCACCAATGTGCTATATTAACAAGGAAAACTAAAATGGTGAATGAGATAAAACCCCAAACATATAACTCCTAGTATTCTGAAAATATAATTCTCAGAATACAGTAATTGATCAAAAGGAAAAAAAAGAGGGCCTTAAAAATGTAACCCTGGTCATCCAAATGGTCATTTAACTTTATTTAACATTGATCAATAACCGACCACGTTTCTGTGGAGATGAATCTTCCAAAGTACTGTCAGTGCCTTCCCACACCACCAGCTCCACCATAATCTCATAAACCCCCTCCCACAGAGTACTAAAGTATGTTTTTCTTTCAGGTATTGCTGTTCTAGCTGGACTGAATCTGGCTCCAAAGTTTTCAGAAATCACACAGGACACAAATGATGTAATCATAAAATGCGTATTTATTATGGCAATGCTGATGCCGTCCTAGAATCCATTCCTAGGAGATTAGCCTACAAAAAAAAGAGAGACAATCTCTGCTGAAAATATATTAATTGAAGTACTAGAACCCTTTGTTTGCTCAAGGACCCAGAATTTCACATTTAGTAACAGTAACCAAGACTCTAGGGTATGCAGGGAAAGAGTGAGTTCATCAAGACGTAGTCATTAAAGCCTCACTTCTAGTACCAATGAACCTATAGTTTATGCAGTCACAAAAAGAAGAGAAAAAGGAAAACAGCCCAGATCAGTATTAAATCATTTAAACCTCACTTTTAAGTTTGTAAGCAATTCTACTTCAACTTAGTCAGAAAACACAACTGTCCACTGTTACCCTTATTCCACAAAGAAATATGAATTCTGTCTCTTTGCTATACCTCCTAAAGAAGAACTGGTGTCATAATGTACCTTCCAATAAAGACAACTAAAATTAAATACAAAGGATATGGTGGGGGGTCATTAATTTTCAGTACTTGCCCATTTTTGTGGTGTAAATATTCCCAATCATGGCAGAGTTCAAGCTACCAAAGTGATGTGAGCCAGGTAGCAAAAGTCCCGAAAATGTAACGATGTACTCTGATGAGCTAATAAAGGGGACATCAGCATACCACTGTCCATTAGCATTCAGTTTATCTTACCTAGTCACTATTGTATATATGCTAGAAGCATGATCTTATAGAAGAAATCATTATCTACTCAAAAATGCTTAAATGTATTGAGCTTACAGTTCATAGGGAGATATTCTTTGAAGAAGAAACTCCCCAACCAAGACTTACGCCTTTATTTCATGCTGCCTGCTCTATTTCTAGACCCTCATAGGAATCAACAAGGATTGACAATCTCACTCCCTCATTCTTAAGAAAAATTTTAACTCAGTAGTTTTGATTTGGGCATGGTTTTGCGGTATTATACAATGCCAAATGCTGTCAGCATCCTAGCTCTTCAGGTCCAGGAATTTTGCAGCCCTAGAGGAACAATCACAATGTCGAAGTACTCATTACAGACCACTGTTAATGAACCAGACACTCTCCATCAAGCAGGAGCCAGGCTACTCCGATGGTGGAAAGTACTAGAATGACATTCCAGAATTTCTCATTAGTAATTATACAAAGCAGAAGGATATTCTGTAACATAAATTGCAATTTAGATCAATTGCATGGCTTTATGAAATTAGTGTTAAATCAATAACCAAATGTTTATTTACATAAGTTTTATGTGTTTTATGTAATAAAAGAAATCATATTTTTAACAAATTCTTTTTTGAAGTTAGGGGGAAACTTCCATTCTCTTGGATCTTATATAATGTCAGCCCATTATCAGTGGGTAATAGAAAAATGATAAAAAAGGGGATGGGCGAAGAATATTTAACATTTAGTAGTTTGTGTGGTTTAGTTGTAATTAGTCTATTCAGTTATTTTCCCACAAGTCTTTCTGGGTCTCCTTAGGAGAGGGATGAGAACTAAGAGGCAAAGAGAGATGGAGGTTTTCACCAGGTTTTTAGATAAATTCTTGGTTATTTGTCCCTTACCAATACCTCTAGTCATAGATAGTTGGAAGTCATCACTCACCTAACAAAAGACTAAAGAGGTATTGAGGGAAGAAACCACCATTTAACTATATCTGAAACAGATGAATTTAGTGCAGGTTCACATAGTGCAAAATGCACTCTCTCAAACAAAGCAAAGGTCCAATCTCGTATTGGGTTCAAGGAATGCATAAAGTTCAGGGATTGGCTGATTTTTGGAAATAGGAGTGTATTGGTATTGGCTTTCATTGTGGAGTTTGGCGACTGGTTAACTTTCAGAAGCATGAGTTCCAGAGCAACACTGCTGCTGGTTGTCTGGAAAGGGTTAATAACCCATTTTTTGGTTACTTGTCTACAACTTGAGACTAAGACCAAAGAATAGTCGTTCTTTACTTCCTTTCATTAACTTGGAAAATAGGAACATTTCAGTCTCAGAAAAAAATCAGGAACAGTGATTGTTACAGTTAAGTATAGAATTTCTTATAGATCATACAATCCTATTACATTTATTGGAAAATATGTGTAGTCTTAAAAAATTAAGATTTTTTACTTTATTAATAAACAATGTTGTTTACTAATATGTTAATAATATATTATGTTTTTATAATTAATCATCAAATCACTAATAACTCCATTATAAGTGATTAGATTTAGGCTTTCAAAAATAAATTGTATGGTATATATTTGAGATTGATGAGGAAGTATGCCTAATGTGAACAACCAAAGTTAAAATATTAAAATATGGGCTACTGCATGAAATCATTTCAGGGGTTTTTAATCCCACTTTTATCTATTTCTACAAATGGAAATTTAGGATTCAGCTAGACCTGTCCAAAATCCAACTCTATTATTCACTAGATATGTGCTATATTTTCTTCATTAATAAAAACAAAAATAATTTTTAAGGTTTGAGAAGCAACATATAGAATAAATTTCTGCCTTCATATGTAACACATTGCTAAAATTATAAACAGAAATGAAATGTAAGAATATTAAATTATTCTATGTCAAGACTGTTGTTAAATAATAATGATGATGTTGACTATGAAGATTTAAAAATTTTTAAAACTCTGGTTATGACTTGCAATATATTTCTATTATTTTTATATAAGGTTTTTATTTTCTTCACAATTGACATCACAGGCTGAGACAGAAGTTTTACTACTTTCAGCTAAGGCTGGCAGCAAACGAACTACCTGCCTTCAGGAATGAAACCTGATCTATTTCTTCTCTTTCTTCCTCTCACTTTACTTTTCTTTTTCCCTTACTTTAACTGCTCATTTCTTAGACTTCCAGGACCAAACATGTGGCAAGATAAAGAAGAGATAAAAGAAATGGGAAAGTTATTTCTTGTATGAACTGTCCCATCATCTTTAGGCCCAGCAGAAAATTAAAGAGGCTTGTTTTCTCATAGGTGCTTTTGTAGGTTCGGTGGAGATTTTCATGCTGTACACCTCCAACTGCAATTCCCTTGACCAAGGCAGTGCGTACCTTGGCTGGCCCTAATGCTTATGTGCTCCTGACCTCTGTGTTATACCCCTTAGCCACTTACGCTGGGGTTCTTAGATAAGACAGAACTGCTTCTTCTGCAGGACCTCATGTTTAAATGACTCCAGGCTAACATTCCCACTGAATTTTTCCCATGGCTTCAATTCATGCATCTTCGGCCCCATAAAAGAAGCACATAGAGAAACTTTCCAAATGCAGTACTTTTCACTAAAAGGCTGCTTTAACTTACTTAGATGTGACTCAGATACAAGTCCACTCTGTTCTCCGATTATAAGAAATGTACATCAAGCTCTGTGAGCTTCTGAATCTCTGAATCCCTATCACAAAACTTGAGGTGAAGACACCTTTCCAACAACACCCATATTTCCCACAGGGGTGGGTATCCACAGCATTCAGCATTCTCTCCAACATTTCTCCTCAAAAAGGCTGGCTCTCTCCCCACTTTCTTGGTCCTCAACATGGGTTTGAGAGTCATCTCTTTGGTTCTCAGATGAGAGATTAGTCTCACAATTCATTCTTGAGTGTAGCCCTGAATGTCTTCAAATCTCCGCAAAAACTGAGAGAAGAGTCCTGTTTAACTTCCTGTTATACATATTAAAGCACAATGACCCCAGACAGAATATCATCTCTGTTGTGGGCTGTACATTGTATTGATCACAAAGTGGTACCTTCTCCAAAATATCCATTTCCTACATATCAGCTCATTCTGCATCTTTTCAGTTCCTAGTTATTTTTTTTCAGTGACATACTTTCTTTACTTTTTTCATCACTATAATCTTATTAAAAATCTTCCAAATACTTATATTTTGCTTTAATTTTCAGCTCAAAAAAACTTTCAGATAGCTGAACAAAAGGCAGCAGAAACTTCTGCAGACTTAAACATCCCTGTCTGACAGCTTTGAAGAGAGTAGTGGTTCTCCTAGCACAGAGTTTGAGATCTGAGAATGGACAGACTGCTTCCTCAAGTGGGTCTCTGACCCCCGAGTAGCCTAACTGGGAGACATCTCCCAGTAGGGGCCGACTGACACCTCATACAACTGGATGCCCCTCATACAGCTGGGAGACAAAGCTTCCAGAGGAAGGATCAGGCAGCAACATTTGCTGTTCTGCAATATTTGCTGTTCTGCAGCCTCCACTAGTGATACCCAGGGAAACAGGGTCTGGAGTGGACCTCCAGCAAACTCCAACAGACCTGCAGCTGAGGGTCCTGACTGTTAGAAGGAAAACTAACCAACAGAAAGGACCTCCACAACAAAACCCCATCTGTATGTCACCATCACCAAAGACCAAAGGTAGATAAAACCACAAAGATGGGGAGAAACCAGAACAGAAAAGCTGAGAACTCTAAAAATCAGAGCTCCTCTTCTCCTCCAAAGGAACGCAGCTCCTCGCCAGCAATGGAACACAGCTGGATGGACAATGACTTTGACAAGTTGACAGAAGAACGATCGGTAATAACAAACTTCTCCGAGCTAAAGGAGGATGTTCTAACCCATCACAAAGAAGCTAAAAACCTTAAAAAAAGATTAGACGAATGGCTAACCAGAATAAACAGCATAGAGAAGACCTTAAATGGCCTGACTGAGCTGAAATCCATGGCACGAGAACTACGTGATGCATGCACAAACTTCAGTAGCTGGTTCGATCAATCAGTGATTGAAGATCAAATGAATGAAATGAAGCCAGAAGAGAAGTTTAGAGAAAAAAGAGTAAAAGAAACGAGCAAAGCCTCCAAGAAATATGGGACTATATGAAAAGACCAAATCTACGTCTCATTGGTATACCTGAAAGTGATGGGGAGAATGCAACCAACTTGGAAAACACTCTTCAGGATATTATCCAGGAGAACTTCCCCAACCTAGCAAATCAGGCCAACATTCAAATGTAGGAAATACAGAGAATGCCACAAAGATACTCCTTGAGAAGAGCAACTCCAAGACACATAACTGTCAGATTCACCAAAGTTAAAATGAAGGAAAAAATGTTAAGGGCAGCCAGAGAGAAAGGTCATGTTACCTACAAAGGGAAGCCCATCAGACTAACAGCAGATCTCTTGGCAGAAACTCTACAAGCCAGAAGAGAGTGGGGGCCAACATTCAACATTCTTGAAGAAAAGAATTTTCAACCCAGAATTTCATATCCAGCCAAATTAAGCTTCATAAGTGAATGAGAAGAAAATATTTTACAGACAAGCAAATGCTGAGATTTTGTCACCACCAGGCCTGCCTTACAATAGCTCCTGAAGGAAGCACTAAACATGGAAAGGAACAACTGGTACCAGCCACTGCAAAAACATGCCAAATGGTAAAGACCATCGATGCTAGGAATAAACTGCATCAACTAACGAGCAAAATAACCAGCTAGCATCATAATGACGGGATCAAATTCACACATAACAATACTAACCTTAAATGTAAATGGGCTAAATGCTCCAATTAAAAGACACAGACTGGCAAATTGGATAAAGAGTCAAGACCCATCAATGTGCTGTATTCAGGAGACCCATCTCAGGTGCAGAGACACACATAGGCTCAAAATAAAGGGATGGAGGAAGATCTACCAAGCAAATGGAAAACAAAAAAAGGCAGGGGTTGCAATCCTAGTCTCTGATAAACAGACTTTAAACCAACAAAGATCAAAAGAGACAAAGAATGCCATTACACAATGGTAAAGGGATCAATTCAACAAGAAAAGCTAACTATCCTAAATATATATGCACCCAATACAGGAGCACCCAGATTCATAAAGCAAGTCCTTAGAGACCTACAAAGAGACTTAGACTCCCACACAATAATAATGGGAGACTTTAACACCCCACTGTCAACATTAGACAGATGAACGAGACACAAAGTTAACAGGGATATCCAGGAATTGAACTCAGCTCTGCACCAAGTGGACCTAATAGACATCTACAGAACTCTGCACCCCAAATCAACAGAATATACATTCTTCTCAGCACCACATCGCACTATTCCAAATTGACCACATAGTTGGAAGTAAAGCACTCCTCAGCAAATGTAAAAGACCAGAAATTATAACAAACTGTCTCTCCGACCACAGTGCAATCAAACTAGCACTCAGGATTAGGAAACTCACTCAAAACTGCTCAACTACATGGAAACTGAACAACCTGCTCCTGAATGACTACTGGGTGCATAATGAAATGAAGGCAGAAATAAAGATGTTCTTTGAAACCAATGAGAACAAAGACACAACATACCAGAATCTCTGGGACACATTTAAAGCAGTGTGTAGAGGGAAATTTATAGCACTAAATGCCCACAAGAGAAAGCAGGAAATATCTAAAATTGACACCCTAACATCACAATTAAAAGAACTAGAGAAGGAAGAGCAAACACATTCAAAAGCTAGCAGAAGGCAAGAAATAACTAAGATCAGAGCAGAACTGAAGGAGACAGAGACACAAAAAATCAATGAATCCAGGAGCTGGTTTTTTGAAAAGATCAACAAAATTGATAGACTGCTAGCAAGACTAATAAAGAAGAAAAGAGAGAAGAATCAAATAGATGCAATAAAAAATGATAAAGGGGATATCACCACTGATCCCACAGAAATATAAACTGCCATCAGAATATATTATAAACAACTCTACGCAAATAATCTAGAAAATCTAGAAGAAATGGGTAAATTCCTGGACACAGACACCCTCCCAAGACTAAACCAGGAAGAAGTTGAATCCCTGAATAGACCAATAACAGGCTCTGAAATTGAGGCAATAATTAATAGCCTACCAACCAAAAAAAGTCCAGGACCAGACGGATTCACAGCCAAATTCTACCAGAGGTACAAAGAGGAGTTGGTACGATTCCTTCTGAGACTATTCCAATCAGTAGAAAAAGAGAGAATACTCCCTAACTCATTTTATGAGGCCAGCACCATCATGATTCCTGGCAGACACACAACAAAAAAAGAGAATTTTAGACCAATATCCCTGATGAACGTCGATGCAAAAATCCTCAATAAAATACTGGCAAACTGAATCCAGCAGCGCACCAAAAAGCTTATCCACCATGAACAAGTTGGCTTCATCCCTAGGATGCAAGGCTGGTTCAACATATGCAAATCAATAAACGTAATCCAGCATATAAACAGAACTAAAGACAAAAACCACATGATTATCTCAATACATGCAGAAAAGGCCTTTGACAAAATTCAACAGCCCTTCATGCTAAAAACTCTCCATAAACTAGGTATTGATGGAACATATCGCAAAATAATAAGAGCTATTTATGACAAACCCACAGTCAATATCATACTGAACGGGCAAAAGCTGGAAGCATTCCCTTTGAAAACTGGCATAAGACAGGGATGCCCTCTCTCACCACTCCTATTCAACATAGTGTTGGAAGTTCTGGTCAGGGCAATCAGGCAGGAGAAAGAAATAAAGGGTATTCAATTAGCAAAAGAGGAAGTCAAATTGTCCCTGTTTGCAGATGACATGATTGTATATTTAGAAAACCCCATCGTCCCAGCCCAAAATCTCCTTAAGCTGATAAGCAACTTCAGCAAAGTCTCAAGATACAAAATCAATGTTCAAAAATCACAAGCATTCTTATACACCAATAACAGACAAACAGAGAGCCAAATCATGAGTGAACTCCCATTCACAAATGCTTCAAAGAGAATAAAATACCTAGGAATACAACTTACAAGGAATGTGAAGGACCTCTTCAAGGAGAACTACAAACCACTGCTCAATGAAATAAAAGAGCACACAAACAAATGGAAGAACATTCCATGCTCCTGGATAGGAAGAATCAATATCATGAAAATGGCCATACCGCCCAAGGTAATTTATAAAGTCAATGCCATCCCCATCAAGCTACCAATGACTTTCTTCACAGAATTGGAAAAAACTACTTTAAAGTTCACATGGAACCAAAAAAGAGCCCACATTGCCAAGGCAATCCTAAACAGAAAGAACAAAGCTGGAGGCATCACACTACCTGACTTCAAACTATACTACAAGGCTACAGTAACCAAAGCATCATGGTACTGGTACCAAAACAGAGATATAGACCAATGGAACAGAACAGAGCCCTCAGAAATACTACCACACATCTACAACCATCTGATCTTTGACAAACCTGGCAAAAACAAGAAATGGGGGAAGGATTCCCTATTTAATAAATGGTGCTGGGAAAACTGGCTAGCCTTATGTAGAAAGCTGAAACTGGATCCCTTCCTTACACCTTATACAAAAAGTAATTCAAGATGGATTAAAGAGTTAAATGTTAGATCTAAAACCATAAAATCCCTAGAAGAAACCCTAGGCAATACCATTGAGGACATAGGCATGGGCAAGTACTTCATGACTAAAACACCAAAAGCAATGGCAACAAAAGCCAAAATTGACAAAGGGGATCTAATTAAACTAAAGAGCTTCTGCACAGCAAAAGAAACTACCATCAGAATGAACAGGCAACTTACAGAATGGGAGAAAATTTTTACAATCTACCCATCTGACAAAGGGCTAATATCCAGAATCTACAAATAACTTAAACAAATTTACAAGAAAAAAACAACCCCATCAAAAAGTGGGCGAAGGATATGAACAGACACTTCTCAAAAGAAGACATTTATACAGCCAACAGACACATGAAAAAAATGCTCATCATCACTGGCCATCAGAGAAATGCAAATCAAAACCACAATGAGATACCATCTCACACCAGTTAGAATGGCGATCATTAAAAAGTCAGGAAACAATGGGTGCTGGTGAGGATGTGGAGAAATAGGAACACTTTTACACTGTTGGTGGGACTGTAAACTAGTTCAACCATTGTGGAAGACAGTGTGGTGACTCCTCAAGGATCTAGAACTAGAAATACCATTTGATCCAGCCATCTGATTACTGGGTATATACCTAAAGGATTATAAATCATGCTGCTATAAAGACACGTGTGCACGTATGTTTATTGCAGCACTATTCACAATAGCAAACACCTGGAACCAACCCAAATGTCCATCAATGATAGACTGGATTAAGAAAATGTGGCACATATACACCATGGAATACTATGCAGCCATAAAAAAGGATGAGTTCATATCCTTTGTAGGGACATGGATATGTCCCTACATTCTGAGGAAACTATCCCAAGGACAGAAAAACAAACACCGCATGTTCTCACTCATAGGTGGGAACTGAACAATGGGAACACTTGGACACAGGATAGGGAACATCATACACTGGGGACTGTCTTGGGGTGGGAGGAGGGAGGAGGGATAGCATTAGGAGATATACCTAATGTAAATGACGAGTTAATAGGGGCAGCACACCATCATGGCACATGTATACATATGTAACAAACCTGCACGTTGTGCACATGTACCCTAGAACTTAAAGTATAATAAAAAAATTAATAAAAAATTAAAAGTTCAGTGTCAGGCCAAGTGCAGTGGCTCACGCCTGTAATCCCCTGCACTTTTGGAAGGCGAGGCATGTGGATCACTTGAGGTAGGGAGTTCAAGACCAGCCTGGCCAACATAATGAAACCCCATCTAAAAAAAAAAAAAAATTCAGCTCAAGAATCACTCTTGGCTTTCTCACTCTTTTCATCTGTCTCTTTTTACCTAGGTAATTTTGTTCAGTAATATTTCTCACCTACACCCATTTTGAGTCAGAATGAGTGAAAAGAAGATGCCGTTTTCTCTGTTTCCAATTTTGGATAAATTGCTAGTCTCCTTGCAAGTAGTAATCTTTACTCATCCAGTTGTCTTTCACAAATAGAGCAAAGCAGAATCTGCTTCTAAGTTAAACAAAAAGCAGAAATCATAATGTCAAATTATAATTGGCATATCCCAGACATAATCAATATTGCCTTTTGCAAGTTCCTCCCACAGCTAAAGCAAACCCTGGTTAGTGCTGGCCAAATCTTGACTAATTTGGCTTCAAGTTATTACCATACTTAATATCTCTGAATCAACACTGATGACTAAGATAAAGTGAACTACAAGAAATGATCAGTCTTCAATGTGAAAACTTTTTCACTTTGTGCCAACTATTACTGGTGCACCTGTTTTATGTTCAGAGTGGGAAGAGAATCAAAAAAGACGTGGCCAATTTTGAAAAAGATGCAATGTTTTCAATGTCTCAAAATAGCTCACATACATAGCATTGCTTCCACTGCTTATTCAAACTGTGAGGCTGATTGAGCATATGTATAATGCAGGCATGCAAATCAAAAAATTACCTACATTGCTCCCACCTTACTCTCTCAGGTTCCAGTTTCCTGTATAAGAATTGGTACTGCATCAAGTAGAGGCAGAAAGACATCAGCAGTTCAGGGAATTTTTATGAGAGGTACAAAAAGAAGTAATGTGAGAGGGCTTTAAGAATTTCTGATACTGCATTTGCAAGGGGCTCTAGAAATAATCTAGTCCGGCCCCTGTTTTTCAGATGGAGACCTCCACTATTAATTCAAGTAGATTGCACTGGATAAGCCAACATCATAGTACAATAAAGCCTCTGTCAACTGAATTACAGGAAATTAAGAAGAAATAAACTTTATATTAACTAGAGTCAGATGGATCCAAAATTGTGGTCCTAGAGCCATAACAGGGCTCGGAAATTTGTGATAAGAAGGCATTTTAAAGGATTATCGATGTTAATAAACCAATATCACTTGCCTGAGGAGCCCACACTGGGAAAGTGGAAATACGGAAAGGCATGTTCTAGATTCATTCTTTCTACCAATTTTGTGAAAGCCACTGACTCTCCTAGGGCTCAGGACAAAACATAGGCTTAGGTACGTGGGTGAAAACAGAGACTCTCATCTGGGAAGATCACGAATAGACTATGAGTGACTATGAGTTATGAGAGTCTGGCCAAGGATCAACCATTAAGGGATGGGCACGCTGCAATGAGACCAAGGATGATTCAAAACTGAGGAGAAATCCTCCAGGGGAAAAATATTCAGGGTTTTAATATATCCAAGAAATATAAGATGGAAAGTGACTAGAAATCCAGAAGGTAAGGATGCATATCCAAAGAATATTCTAAATATTATCTAGCAGAATAGTGGAGAATTTAATGATGTGACAATTCTTTGAAGGGTGAATGTACTTTACATTATACGGGTATTATTCTGTTGACTGAAATAGTCATTTCACTTAATCTTCCAAGGGTAACTTTTTAAAATTGATACAATACCATTTTAAATAATATACCAACATTTTCTAAAACGATTAGGTCACTGTTTTTGGCAATTGATTAATAAGCTCAATTTCAAATCAACTCATTGCAGTTTAACGCAAAAACAATTTTTAACTATTTGGTACAGGGCAATCAGAATACAATGGTGAACAGAACACAGGACCTGTTCTCATAGAATTTATAGTATGACAGTGAAAACATCTACTGAGCATCTAAAAACATGGTGAACACTAGGAAATGAATGCTATGAAAATCTCCTACAAGGGAAATTCAATCTAGTCTATGAAATCAGGAAATGTTTCCTTGGTAAATTATATATCAACTATGATTTGAAGAATTAGTATAAGTTAGCCAGGTGGAAATTTGAAAATGTGGGTAGTATTTTTGGCTATCACCCTGCCTTCTGGTCAACTGGCAATCACAGGAATGAATTCACCAACTAACTCACTGGATTGTGGAAAATAACATATCATTTTTGTTTGAGCCATTCTGTTTTGGGATATTTCATTATATAGCTTTCTCATGGCCTAGGCAAAGTACTGATAAGCTGAAAATGCTACTCCGATCAACCTGAGACACTACTGGTATTAAAGCCTGATTTTTTAATGCTTTCATAGACTAAAAACTATGAGTACCCAATACTGAATCAGGCACTTAATTATTTTGTTGACACAATGATGAAGGGTATTTATTATGAGCATTTAGTGGATGGGACCCAGAAATGCTAGACACCTTGCACCACCACAAATTATTCAGTATTCCTCTTGACTTGAGAATATCATGCTAGACGTTCATTAGATAATGAACTAGAGACTACAATTTAAGTCTTTTTTACATATAAACACAAAGTATGCTTTATGCAGTTTTGATATCCATAATATTCCAGGAATGCAATTACTGTGGAAAAGGACAGAAAATTGTATTCTATTTTGTTTGGAAGTTTACCCAAAGTTGTTCATTATTCTGGAAAACCACATCCCTGACAGCAACACCAGGTATGGTACTTGAGCTCTAGCATAAAACACCTGTATCAGTTTGCAGTTGTGCCATCAAATCCATAGGAATTCTTCAAATAGGGACATGCATCTGACTGTCTCACTATGTGTGAAACAATGTTTGCCAGAACATTCACATATGGAAATACATATCATTTTAATATTAATCTTTTCATTTAGTTTTCCTTTATATAACAGTGGTAGCATTATTGATTTTATGTTGTCTGTGGAGTTTATTTCAGGAAAGTGGAGGTAATGTTAGCAAATATATATTGGAAAAAGAAAATTTTGGCCGGGCACGGTGGCTCACACCTGTAATCCCAGCACTTTGGGAGGCCAAGGCGGGTGGATCACGAGGTCAGGAGATCAAGACCATCCTTACTAACATGGTGAAACCCCGTCTCTACTAAAAATACAAAAAATTAGCCAGGCATTGTGGTGGGCGCCTTCAGTCCCAGCTACTAGGGAGGCTGAGGCAGGAAAATGGCTTGAACCTGGGAGGCAGAGCTTGCAGTGAGCTGAGATCGGGCCACTGCACTCCAGCCTGGGCGACAGTGCGAGACTCTGTCTCAAAAAAAAAAGAAAAAAGAAAAAAAAAAAAGAAAATTTTGGCTCTGAGAAGATTGAGCCATAGCTCTGAAGGAAAAAATATATACACATTATAGGCCATCAAATTCTTATGAGCATTTTAAAGTGTTGGCATTTTTTAAAAAAGGTATTATTTTTGCATCCAATTGATTGCTTACCCATTCTTAGACAATTCCATTTGGTTTGAGATATGGGTTAAAATGTGTGATGTTTATGGCCAATATAAATGCATGTGCATGTCTTATAGGTTGGGTAAGTTCCTCAATAGTTCATCCCTTTTCTCCCCCCTCCCCAAGGCAAGAATCATTTGTACTAGTGCTCTTTGGGCACCAGCAAAGTCCAGTCTTTTTCAACCAATTGTTCTATAGAACATCAAAATTGTCTTTTTTGAAAAACTCAAGTATGAATCAGTAGCAGAACTCTCCTCTGCCCACACAGTTCTCTGAATTAACTTTTCTTGTTTTTCCTCATGTTTTCCGTCTTTACTCACTGTTTTAGCTGCTGATTATCCCTCTAAAATTCCAAGTGATATATTTCTTCTGTCTTGAATTTTCCACTTTTATATTTCTATTCTGCCTTCTACACTGCCACCTGAGTCTTCCAACCTTCTTTCTTGGTCACTAAATCTCAACTCAAGGAGCCTCTAAATCATTCACCTATTTCCTGATTTTTTGCCTCTTCCTACAAAAACACCTGTAAATATCAGCCCACATAAATTTCTGTTGAATTTTATTGTGTCAGATGCTTCCAGGAAAAAAAATATGCTTTTGCATAATCTTGAATTTTTGTGTGATTTGGCAAAGTTTTTACCTTCTTTTTGGCTTATTATACTAATATGTATATTGAGGTTAATTAAAAAATTAACTTCACAGAGTTGTGAGCATGAAATGAACTAACATAGGTTAAGCACTTAAAAGAGTGTTCATACACAGTAAGCACTATGTATTATTACCATTACACACAATTTTAGAAGTTATATTTTACTATATTTTAGTTCAATGTTTAAGTGCAATAATTTTAACTATACTTAGCAAAACACACTAATTCCCACTTAATTAGAAAATGTGCTGATTATACAAATATAAATATACACTATAAAATTCTAGAGAGCCCCAGGAGACACAAAGAATCTGGCCTATTTCCAAATGGAATCTGCTTCAACACAGCAGCCTTGCTGAGGCAGTCAAACGCAGTCACTAAGTATTAGACTAGGTAGACTCTGTGCTGGCTCCATTGACATTCACTGGAGTTTTGGCCCAACTAAGGTAGCATGAACCCTCCAATTTGGTGGCATCATCTGAAGTTCACTCCAGACTACAGGATGTGAAAAGCCATTTACTGTGCTTTCTGGAAATTTCAATCTCATGGGAAAATGATTTATTATCTAGGGAGTTATTCTGTGCATGCCATATTATTGTCGACTTTAAAGTCCACAGAAGGTAAGAAATCACTTTAAGGTCTTACCTGCATTAAAATTAACCAGGGTGCTTCACTTTTTTCTCTATCTCTCAAAGCTGTGTTTTAAATAGACAAGGGGGTGGTAAGGATACAGAAAATAAACTGAATTTATTTACTGTTCACAATAAACTGAACAGTCATGAACCTCATTTTACTAAAGCCACTGGCAAACTTCCTTAGTAATTGCCCACCCAACATCTCTTTCTTGACTGATAAGCTTATCCACTTTTGCAAATGTCCTAAATAGAATTCTCACTGTATGGCTGAGGTCCCTACATCATGTACAACACTTCATTCTGAGATTCTCAGAAAAGGAGCAGGTATGTCCCAAGCCCAGCTAAGACTGGCTGTGAACGTGGACACAGAGTGTGGAATGAAAAATACTGGAGACTCAGAGGGGTGAGGGGGGAAGGAGAATGTGGTGATGAGAAATTACTTAATGTGTACAATGTACATTATTTGGGTGATGGATACACAAAAAGCTCAAACTTCACCACTACACAATATATTCATGGAGCAAATTTGCATTTATACCCCTTACATTTATATAAATTCATATTTCCTTCTTATACCTTATATACATATAAATACATATTATATATAATATATGTATTATATAAATATATATATTATATATATATATATGGTATAAGAAGGAAATATGAACTCTGCAAAAGCAACAAGACATACATCCCCAGAAGAGAGATGGTTTAAGGAGGTGCTGTATCTCATGTTCCCAGTATGGGCACTGGGAGAAGCTTGGCCTTCAGCCGGGGCAGAGGATGAGAGGAAGAGGTATGGATTATTAACAACAGTAGAGTGACTAAGAAAGAGGTATTGGGAGCCACACAACAGTCATGGCTTTGGATAGCTGTCAGATAGGAGAAAGATGGTTTCTTGAGCTTTTGGAAAGGAAAGTTAGGCTTAAGCAGTAGAACAAAAAAGCATAAGGATTTAAAACACAATGAAGAAAAAATCTGTTCTTACATCCACCCTTCCTTTTTCTGTCGTCTCTTCCCTCTCAAGGCCTATTCTTACCCCTTACTCCAATAAGTCTTCTCTCTTTCTTACTATATCTCTTTTCCCTCAATGTCTCAATGTTTCTTATTTCTTCACTGGACATGATATACAATTGTATTTTTGTATGATTTATGACATTTATATGTATGTTTCTCAGAAAATATATTAAGCTGCTTGAGGGGTTTTTTTTGGGGGGGGGGTTAAGTCTTTTCTTTCTCTCTTTTTTTTTCTTGGCTGATGATTATTGGTTCCCCATAGAAAAAAAAAGTTACCCACCACTCTGAGTAGTTCCTTTGCTAAAGCAGTAAATTGTATGACATAATCACCAATGTTTTAAAAGGACATGCAATTTATCCGAAGAAGTTAGTTGATTGAAGATGTGAATTAATGTACAGAAAATTAGTCTTTTGGATGGTTCACTCAATCAGAGAGAGTTACAAAGTTGTAGAGGCAAAATGATTTCATTGACAAGTCAAAGATATTATCTCCATTTCTTCTAACTGGTTATTTTTTAAGAGAAAAAAAACTGATTTTGATCACACACGTACGTATGGGAGTTCACAAAAAAATGTAACTCAAAGGAGCAGTTAGAATTGGAACTTAAATACTATCTTATTAGATGAAGAAGGAGAGGGATAAGGGAATTATGGGAAAACAAATGACTCTTATGAAATCGAAATAGAGACTAGATTGGAAGATATGATAGTTTTTGTGATTGTGTCTCCTTGGGTGTAGTTTGGAGACATTGTCTTTGGTAATCAGAGTCAATCTTCCTCAGTTGTTCCAGGGGTGAGGATTTATGACAATTGAGGTATTTTGGGAAGCTCTACTTTTAGGCAGATAAAGAGATTTCAAGAACTCAAATGCCTTCAACTCAAAATAATTTTTATGCCTTATTGTTGTAGTCTGGACCCCTTCTCTAGGGTATTCATAGTACTTGCACTTCCTCCTTCCCAGGTGTAAGGAACATGATATTACCAATATAGTGGGCCAACATCATACTCTGCTCAATAATAGGATGATCAAGGACTCTTCAGACCATGACACAAAGCAGAAAAGGTAACTTAGTCCTTGAGTAAGACCTTGAATGTGAACCGCTGCCTGCGCCAAGGGAATACTCTGCTCCTTCTTCCGGATGAAAAGAATGCATTTGCCAAATAATAGCTACATAAAACTGCCAAAGACTAAGTTGATCTCTTCTAGTAAAGATTCCATATCACCCACAGCAGTTGAGATCAGCATTACCTCATGCTTAAGTGATGTTAGACCACTAACATTTGACACAATCCATCTGATTTTTGCAAAGACCTAACTGGTAAATTAAATGAAACTGTGATAGAGACCATCACCTTTAAGTCTCTGAGAGTGACACACTCTTCACCATTCTGCCTAGGATGTGGTACTACTTCCTATTTACCATCTTGGTTGGGCTTGAGGCAGTTTTAAGGACTTTCAGTTGTCCTCTCTTACCATAATGGCTCTTTGTTCATCGTCTAGAGCCTAATGTGGGTTTCTGTCAGTTACCAAGAATATTCATCTTGACTGTAGGTCAGAAAAATGACCACAGACTGGGTTTGTGGACCCACTGCAACCAGTGTGAAACAATTTGGGCCAGGACTTCATTTATCACCCAGCATTTGTATACCTCCACTCTATCAGGAGAGCCATAACCGTGTCTGAGCTGCCCTGGTGTCAGCGTTGGCTCAGATCTTGTATTTAACAGCACTCAAAAGCTCTGGCAGGTCACCCTTTTCTCAGGGTACAGTTGCTCTCACAAATTTTAGGATTGGATTGGAGGAAATTACACTGAATATACCAAAGGAAGAAATATACTTTTCTCAGGACCCAGGATCCCCTTCAGTTGATGGGCTTCAGTATGAGACATGGCTCCGTTCTAGAAACTGGGTGAAGGGTTATTATTTTCCATTGATATTAGCTCTGTTCACCCAAGCTTAATTTAATTTTGTGTGTAAGTGAAGCTATACTATTATTGCCTGCCTATCTACCTCACTCCCAAGAACAACATGGTCTATTAGCCATACCCATAGACCCCATAGACTTGAACATGTCATAAGATAATATTGCAACAAATTCAGTTCAAAGGTCTCAATTCGCTTTTATTTGTGATTCTAGAATTCTATTTTATAGAATGAGGTGTTCTCATGAGCTGAAGAGAGGAAAGCTTGACTTTATAGGCAGAAAGGGGCTGAGAAAAGCAGAAATAGAGAATAAAAAGCAAATTGGTCAATATGAAGTGGCTTTCCTTCTAAAAATTAAAGCAAAGAGGGCTTCCTTATCATGCCTGCTAAAACTGGCTTGTTACAGGGATTTGGCTATTGTTTCTCCTGATTTCTTGGAAGGCCAGATAGATGACTTAATTTTGACTTGATAACATAGAGTCTCAGCATTGGAAACTCTATGTTGGTTTGTTCTGTTGGGCCTAATGCAGGAGCTCAGTTCAGACTCATGACCTCTCATAAATTTTATTTAACAAACCTGAGCTAAAACCATAAAACCCCTACATGAAAACATGTAAATAAATCTTTGTAACCTTGTGTTAGGCAATGGCTCATTAAAATGAAAAAACTTTGGATAAATTAAATTTAATGGAGTTTAATTGAGCAAAGAACAATTCTCAAATAGAGCAGCCACCAGATTTGGAATAGGTTCACAGTGACACCAGGGCTGCCACATGGTCAGATAATATTTATAGACAGAAATGGGAAAGTGATATACAGAAAACAGAAGTGAAGTACAGAAACAACTGGATTGGTTACAACTCAGCATTTTCTTTATTTGACCTTGCTTTGAACAGTTGGCTGCCTGTGATTGGCTGAGACTATGTGATTGTACAACAGTAAGTAAGTTACAGTCATTTACACATCCAGTTAGATTACAGTTTACTATGTATGCAGAAACCTTTAGGCTGAACTTAAAATAGGTACAGAGATAGTTTTATGTTAAACTTAATTTGACAATTATCCTGTTTTGGTCAACATCTCAATTTTGCAGGATTGACTAAAACGTTAGGCATTGACATCACTTTGTCACCTTTGTAAATTGACTTATTTGGTCTCAAATCCCACTGGGAAATAGACAGAATTGTCAGTTTTGCAAGGTGGGAACAAGGAAACAGAACAATAGAAAAAAACTGATTGGTAACTTCAGGTTACTTTCTTGTAAGTGTTAGAACGGAGGAGACTTTCATATTATTATGGAGTCTCCTGCTTTTAGGAAGACCTACATGGTATTTTGAGATCTATATGCTTCCTTAAAGTTTCAGTTTGTTTACACTGCATTTAGCATGAGAGACTCCATTTTTGTTTGGTCTGGTCTATTGGGGCCTAGTGCAGGAGCTCAATCCAGAAAAATGGCCTCCCATAATTTTGTTTAACAATTCCTCTCTTTTGGTCACATTCTCACCTGAGAACGTGACCAAAACTTAAGGCTTTAGTGCTACTCTCAGTTACCATTTTGGGGAGCTGCCAGTCTCAATAAATCATTCACAGGCCACAGTGTCCTCATGGTCATGCATTTCTTTGAGTTTTTGTTATTCTGGTCAAAGAGAGACCATTTGACACTCTACGGATGGCTGCATGCAAACATTTAAAACATTTGAGAGAATACGGCACACCAGGGAGACTACTGTTATGACCACCAGGAGGATAATACCAAGACCAGCTGGTTATATTTTAAATAAATGTTTTCAAAAACATCTCTAATGTGCTTTTGTTATCCCCTATGCCTCACACCACTTCTTTAAAGATATTCATTAAATAATTAGAATGGTATTATTTCATGTTTGTATGGAGTATTACAGTTTACAAGATATTTTCATATTATAACATCTTACAATCACCACAAGTCCACAAGGCATGTAGGGGAATTATTTTTTATATGAATATTATAGATTAGGAAATTCAGACTCAGAATATATGACATCCCAATCATTTATATAGTTATGACTGGCAGAGCTAATATTCAAGGCAGGATCTCCCAACTCCAAGTTTAATGTGTTCCTCCTACACCACAGGACTTCTTTAGTTAGAACAACCCAACAAGGGGATTACAATTTGAACAAATGATTTACACCTATGCAAGAGATGAGGCCATGAGCTGAGAAAAAATGCAATATTTAGGTTGTATTCTTTGTTATTTAAAGTATAGGGGTCAAAAATAAGCAAGACAATTGCCCACTCTGCATTGTTTTGTTAAAAAGAAAAATCTAGAGTGTTACGTTCAGGTCGGTTCTCAATACCAATATTCAAGAGTTATGTCAACAGAATAAAAGCAGTGCTTCTACCAGAAGAGTAGAGAAAATATTAACGGTAAAGAGAAGTCAGGTAGATAAACCCTCCACTTCACACCACAGCATAACCAGATATATTAAGGGTAGCTGGCTGCAACCATACGATTTCAGTTTTTTAAAGCATGACCCTGTGTTAATAGCCTAAGTATCCTCAACTCTTCCACCCTTTTTGGGCTTCCCTCCCCTACATTTAATGATTTAAATTTTTAAAAATGATCTCATCTCACAAAATAGTGAATAGAAAATCCAATGTCAACCCCAACCCCAAACATCTTCAAGGATCTCTGTAGTATTATTGCTCTCTTGCTCACTCTCTTGACCCAGTTGTAAAATGTGGCCCTCTTTTTCATCATTTCTCTCCAAAATATTGATCATAAAAAGCACTACTAGATAAAACGCAGTGTGTGGAATAGATTTTAACTGCAGGTTAAGTGGAATGTGTATGAAGGTAGACGGGAATACACGGAAGCATCATGAAAAACAAAAAACTAAAAATGTAGTCCCAATATCCCTACTCCTTAACCGCTTTTGCCATTACCTTCACAGAGATTTCTTTTCCATAGTACATACTCTCTTTTCAGGCTCTGGCCTCTGGCCATCTCACTTCACCTCTTGCCTTCTGCTTTCTTTCTTCCCTATCACTTCTCCTTTACTCTCTCCCTCTTAGAAAGCTATTGAGAAAAAACACCTCACGCAGAGGACTCACCTTCCAGACCACATCCTGGGGCCTATCTTTTCACACTCAAATTGAACAATTGTTTGCTTCCCTAAGAAAATAAAATTATCTCCCAAAGAAGTGGGATGAAAACTTTTAGAATTACCTAATTTTCTCCCATCAAAGAAATCCTAATTTTTATCTTAGAAATTCCAGAATTTCTAGTAGAAATGTTATATTCTACTCTACAAAATACCCATCTTTGATGTAAAGTATTTTTTTAAGCAATGTATAATCAAGTAAAATTAATACTTTGAATACATTCACAGAGAAGAACTGAGACAAATAAATGGAAGTTATGGGATAGTAGTGATTTGCTCAAAAGAAGTTAAACTGCTCACTGGAGCTATCTGAGGTCTCATGAGCTAGAGGTATCCAAAACTGGAAATAGTCAAAAAGATATAGACAATGACCCATGGGACAGAGTCCCATGATTCTCAGAGACAATCACCCATTCTGTAAAGAGCTGGACTCAACAATGTCTAAGGTCCCTTCCAACCCTCAGAATCTGTTTTCCAAGTCTCAATCACTCAAGGCATGGGTCTTTGCACACTTGCAGTCCGTCCTGTGGTTTACAGGATAACTTCATTGTTTGGCTCAAAGTCTTTTCTACATCCAAATATTTATACTTAATATTCAAAGAATAACATCAAAGCACATTAAAAATTCCAATATAGAAACATTTAAGGAGCTGTTCACACCTCTAACCTGCTTTATTGATTTGTATTGCTGTGCATAAACAAGATACAGTTACATTAATTATTGATATACGGACTATTGATAAGAAAACACTTTCTTCTAAATATAATCTTTTCTAATTAGGTATGAGTTAAGAAGAGTTAAGGAGAAAAGAAAGACAACCTTCAAATATCAGCTGATTCACACACAAAAATAAATAATAAGCTCTGTGTAGAAATTGTATATTTGAGAATTCATGTTATAGAACCTTCAGTCTAGAGGAAAAATCATACACCTTAAAAAATGTTTTTCAAAAGTCTTCATGTTATTCAAAATTATATGGTGATTAGAGTATTGTCAGGTGAGACCAACAATTTAAATGAAATAAACACAGTTTTTGTTTCCTGACCCTGAAAATCAAGTGGAAGTTATGAAATCCAGAATATTTCATATGCATGTCCTTGGCAATACAATGTGAAAATGGTTGGGTATCCAAACTGCTTTGAATTTCAGATAGTTTTCTTATAACAAATTCAAGTTATCTTCAAGATTTTACAAGCCAACTTTTCTAGATATAGATTTATTTATTCAACCAGCCAACATTTACTAAGTATCTTCTAAGGACACAGAAAGCTATTTCTACTAATACCATGAAAAGCAGCAAACAACATTTATTACACACTTACTATGCACCAGGCACAGTTATCCATTTTACTTGCATTATATTTTTGTAATCAATAATCTATCATAATAGACACAGAAACCAAAGCTGGCCTTGATCACCTATTTGATTAATAGATCTGCACAACTCCAATGCTCCATTCTTAACCATTATTCTATATCCCCGACCTACACAAAAAGATGATCCAATAGAGACAACACAGTAAAATTCTTTGGTAGAGGCAAACATAGAATGCAAGAAAAAGCCCCTAACTCTACCTAGGAAGGTGGTAACTGAGTCAAAGACAGAGGTTATTTGAAGACTCATCAGGAAAGGTAATGTTTGATCTGAATCACAAGGAAAGACTTGGAGTTATCCAGAAGATTGAAGATAATGTGAAAAGTCCAGAGTCATGCAAGAGAAGAATATATATGAGAATCTGCATTTCAGGGTAGCTGAAATGGGAATCATGGGAGATTAAAATAAACAGGTAGGTGGGAGGCATCAGTCATTATTACAAACTTTGACTTGCCAATAAATTTGATTTATTTAAAGATAATAAAAATCACTGAAGAATCTTAAGCAGGGGAATTAAGTGATCAAATATATATATTTAAGAAAGATCATTTTACTTGTCTTCATTGGGCAATAGATATGGAGGAAAGAAGATGGACTCAAGACATAGGTGTAAGGGATCAGTCAGATGAGGAGAGGGAAACAGACAGAGGGACTGTAAGAATGTCCAGGTTTCTGGCCTAGACAACTGGGTTGATGGTAGTGCATTTACTGCAGTAATGAAGACAGTCGATGGAGCAACTACATGGTAAAATACATGTTCTGTTCTACTTTGGATTGTCGGGACCTAAATTGGAGATTTGAATCACTGTGAATTTCAAAGATCTAATCAAGATTCCTTAGCTTTTTACTCAGAGGCCAAACTCAGAAATCAAAAGAGTAGAAGAGTAGAAACAACAGCATTTTGTGTCTAAACTTTCATCCCTTTTAAACTTGGAGAACAAAGGGAAAGGGGAGGCAGAGAGACAAATACTCTGAGTTTGCTCTTTCCTCTCTCTCTCTCTCTCTCTCTCTCTCTCTTTATTTATCTCTCTGGGTTTATTTGCTGCTAGCAGAGGAAGAGGTATCTTACAGGTGGTAAAAATGATCAGCGCTTGTGAAGACTTGAGTGGATACTAGGGACATGTGATCCAGAATTCCTAGGTGAAAGCAGTCTGTAATAATGTTGGGGGCTTGTTTAAAGAGTCTACTTACTCAAGTGAGTATAACTGCCATATTCAAAGATAGCCAGAGCTTTGGACTCTGAATCTACTACCTTGACAATTGGATCCTTCTTTGTACTACAGATAATTTTCCTGTGATTTCTGTCATCCCCAACTTACAAACATTTTTGCTAATGCCTTGTCTGTCATCATCTTGTAGTTTGATGAGGTGTTTTTGGCCCATGTAAAATATCTGACTAATGGAAACAGAGCTACTGCTAGCACATACATAGAAGATAATCTCTCCTTCAGGCATGCCTATTACACAACAGCAACTCTTTGGAGAGTGAGTTATTAAATGTCCTGCTTGGGGTAGACAAACTAGCAAAAGGTGCCTCCTTCCTAGGGACTGATATAATTGTATGCCAGTGTATATGTTCCAGTCTCCAGCCAGCCAGTCAAGCCAGCATAAGCATGCATGGGGGTCTTCCATACAACACCCTACTTTATAATCTTTATAAACAAAGGAAATTCAATATTCCACATCCCCAATGCCATTGCATTGCATGACTCCAGGAGACACCAAGTGCGTGGAAAGGTTGTGATGGTCCCCCTGGAGTTGCGCTACGTGGAAGCCCTCCAGATATTCTATCCCATCCAATTATTATGTAATTTTGTGGGTAGTTACTGGGGTGGGAATTCTCTGACAAATGAGATTTTTTCCCAACCCTTTCCTACTACACATTGTTCAACAGGCCTCTGATCTAGTAATTTTAATTCTACCTCCAAATTCTATCTTGAATCTATGTCATTCTCTCCATCTCCATCTTCTATTCTGAGGCTCTATCCTCTCTCACCTAGACCAGGGTTCTCATGTGTCCATTATGCTCTCATCTCCAGTACATTTCTCACAGTGAGCTAGAATGATATTATTTAAACAGACCTCTGGTTATTTCACCCCTTCTTAAAAACCATCGATGGATATGCATTTCTCTTAAAGTAAAATCCTCAATCCTATGGCCAGCAAAGTCTCTGCATAGTCTTCTTCTGTGTTCCTCTCCAGCCTCATCTCCTATCACCCACTGTCTCACACTATCCTGCAGGCACATGTGCCTTCTTTCAGTTATTTAGGCTGCCAGACTCTTTCCTGTCTCAGAATATTTGCATGTGCTATTGTCTTTGTCTGAAATTCTCTTCCTCCCAACGTTTCATCAGGTTACCCCTGCTCATTCTTTGGGTTCTAACATTATTGCTACTTCCCCAGAGGAGTTTCTTGATCTAAATCAAGTCCCATAATGAGAAGTGGTAATCTCTCACCGTCTCCTGTGCTATGCTGAATACTAATCACAATGCATTATTTCTGTTATTTATTAACTGCCTCTCCCCAGGTTGTAAGCGCCACCAAGATGGGGGCTACGCCTGTTCTGTTGACCACTGGATCCTCTGTATCTAGCATGGTGCCTGCTATATTTGATGGATAACAGCGTAGGTAACAGGTTGAGAGAGCTGGGCTGAAGACATATTTTTAGTTCTTAGCAAGTAACAGACAGATAAAATTGCTGGAAAACATTAATAGTAAAAAGAAAAGATGGCCAAAGACAGAATTCTAGAGAACTCCCTCTGGGTAGACAGCCTATGCCAAAGCAAGTCAATTCCCAGCTACCCAGATGAAAAATAAAAATCTACGTGAAGATAATAGTAGTATGGATGGCAGTGGCATTGAAGGTAGCAGGGATGTTGGCAACAGCAATAAAGAGGAATTTTTATTTTCTACTTACCATTTGCTGCACAATTTCACTAACTTATTTTGATGTCAAACTTTATCACAGCTGAGTTCTGCCTTCTAAGCATATAAACTATAGAATATAAAATTTGCCTCTTTGAAAACCATAGGCAGTTTGACAATATATTTGAATTAATTAACCTCTTAACTCTGGTACAAGTCCATATTCACAAGTATGACAATGATTAAGTTAATGAGTTAATCATTCCCTTCTAGTTACAGTCTTTCTTAATTAGTTGATTTAAATTGGGGAGTGGGAGGAGGAAGGAGAAGAATCTTCTGTGGAGTCTATTTTCATAGTGCCAGATAAGATTTCTAAAGGCTTTTTTTTTGAAAGATGCAGAAATGTAGACATCTTTTCAATACTGTTTATAATTTTTTAAGCTACCAAGTCCTACTAAGCCGATTATCATATTTTAGCAAAAGAAATTGCTTGGCAAGTACTTCCTAAGTGCCTGCCCTGCTGTGACCATACCCTTAATTTGGGCCCTACAGGGAACATGGGGAGGGGAGAGATGTGGCATGGGCTTTCCAGGATTGTGAATTTGAAGTTTGCTAGTCATCTAACCAAAAATTAAGGGTGATGGACCATATCTCCAAGATCAGTTGCATTCTCTTACAGGGTTTTAGTTCATATGCAACACTTCTAGGTTTAAAAAAAAAAAGTGTCAAAATTTACTCGAATGTCACCATATGAATTAGACCAGGCCCTATAAATGTTCTATCATTACATTATGCAGACATTATTGAAATAATATTCTTAGTATTTTAGTATTTTCCTTTCTCATTTATGATTTTAAAAGCTCTCTCAAGTAACCTTAAATAAATGCTAGATGATAATCTCAAATTTCCACACTTCAATAATTTCTCTGTCAGTGCACTCATAAGTGCAACGATTTTAAAATGTCTTTTCTTCTCATACAGTATGCATAATTGGAATGGTGCAAACTCATTCTGTACCTTTGGAGCTCGAGAGGCTTTTTAATTTTACATCCCTGTGTCTGTAACAGAAAGAAGCAGAAAGGTGAGTGATTCGGTAAAAGAGAACTCAGTTAAAGAACTTAGAAGATGATACCAGAGACTTATTGAGGCTCGTAAGAGAAGTGATTCAAATACTCGACTTCCCTCCTTCTTCTACGCCCTTCTGCTTCCTAAATTATTTCTCATTCACACACTCTCTCACCTCACCCCCATTGCCTCTTCCTTACCTATGTCTTCACATCCTAAAATAAAAATCTTACTGGGGCCAGGCATGGTGGTTCATGCCTGTAATCCCAGCACTTTGGGCGGCCTTGGCAGGTGGATCACTTAAAGTCAGGAGCTCAAGACCAGCCTGGCCAACATGGTGAAACCCCGTCTCTACTAAAAATACAAAAATTAGCCAGGCATGGTGGCGGGGACCTGTTATCCCACCTACTCAGGAGGCTGAGGCAGGAGAATCATTTGAACTCGGGAGGCAGAGGTTGCAGTGAGCCAAGATTGCACCACTGCACCCTAGCCTGGGTGATAGAGCGAGATTCTGTCTAAAAAAAAAAAAAAAACTTACTGGGTTGAATTACTTTTTTCTTTCCACAATTTTGTAATCAAACTCAAAACATATTTCAATTTAAACATTTTCAGGAATTTTTTAAATCTGTGCATTATGCTCCAGGGCCCCAAATTAGTCAAAATTGGAACTTCATGATGCTATCATTTGGAAGCATAGAAAAGAGAAATTTTACTTAGAAGTATTCTTAGATATTATCTAATTCTTTATGAATTTTTATAAATTATTTTCACCTTACAAATTAATATTAAGGCCTTATTGAGAGTGAATTTTCATAATTCTCTCCAGTGAACTTAAGTTCATTGTAATAAAGAAAAAAAGTTTTGTAAGGGCAGGAATGTACTGAAAACTTCTTGAAAAAGGCCAGTAATTCTAGGACTTCCACATGAGTCTACAAAAAGGTCTCATCATTCGGTTTCTACTTGGCCCAAACATTAGCCTTGGAAATGGAAATAGGATCTCAGGATAGCTCTTAAGTCCCTGATAGGACCAGGGAGAAGAAAAAAGGAGTGGGGGAAAGGAACCTAGGCACTGACCTTGCAAATCATCCTGTCATTTACTTTCTGATTTAAATGTTTTTCACATATTCTGAAAAAGAAATATAAGAATTGTATATAAGAAATCAAGAATATAGTTCTGAAAGGTAAATACTATCTAGTGCTTTTCATTTTAATACAAAAAATTTTATAGTTTATACTTTTTATACTTATGTATTGTTATATTAATTCCTCATATTATTTCTGATGTTGTTTTTATACTTGATTGTAAGTGTCTTGAAGGCAGAGACCTTGGTGGAAGGCTTGTACATACTTCACAGGAATCACAGCGCACCAAGAACATATGTACTTGTATGTTAAGATAAAATAAAATCGTTACTTAAATTTTTAGTGCCATAGAGGGAAATTAAATAATTCATATTGACTTGGGGGGATTAACTTTACCTATATTTCAGCAAATAATTTGAACATGTGTTGAGAATCTTCTCTGATAACTTTACTCAAGTGTTTCTTATTTATCTGTAATTTTAAAAACTAAAAATAACAGAGTATAATTCCAGTCTAACTTTGTGTATGTAGATGTATATATACACATGTATATACATATATACACATTATATGTATATATATGTGCATATATATGAGGGAATGTGTATATATGTATATATATGCGCATATATACATATATACACATTCCATCATATATATATATACACACTCTTATATATGAGAATATATGAGAGAATGTGTATATATGTGCGTGTGTGTGTGTGTGTGTGTGTGTGTGTGTGTGTGTGTATATATATATATATATATATATACGTATGTATGCATGTATATGTATAGGAATGGAGGGAAAGAGTTACGTCTAAGCACCTGAGCAGCCATTTGGCTGAAGAGGACTACAGCCAGTGTGGCTTCTTGAACTTAAGATCATACACTTAATCAGTGCCTGGCTTAACCCTTAATAAGTCAAATCTTTATTGATTTGCAGCCTCACTATCTCAGAGTGTGCTGTGAGTGGATACAGTAGCTGGCAAGTGGGAGAACTAAGAGTGGAAAAGGTGGCTTCACTGGGAAACAGGTCACCACGGAGCTTTCCTCATCATGGTGCATACAAGGGAATATACCCCTTCAGGAAAGCAACAGTAGCAAAACAGAGAAGAGTAGCATAATGCATTCAATATGATCAGACAAAGAAAAATAAGTCCGCAACAAATAAGAACACATAACTCATGAACCTGACTAGCACAGAACAAAGAAATAATTTAACCACAGTAAGTCTAGCAGATCAATATAAGCAATCAACATTTAGACTAAAATGGGTATTTTTCACACTGGTTTATGCAGTTTGACTGATTTCACAATCTAAATCAATTGGTTTAAGCAGATTGATCAATTTCACCACCTTAATTCTTTCCAAATGGATGTAGCTTAAGAATACTATAAGAATATTAAAAATTATGTACACAAGGTCATTTCATAGATAACTGAATGAAAATGAAATTTCTACCCTAAGATAGTATGATTAAAATCATGTGGGTAGTGGCAGAAATTGTGTACATAAAGACTGCTCTAAACATATGATACCTTAGCTGCGTATCTGGTTCTTTAAAGCTGTCCCCAGGCAACCTTACTGTAGAAAGTTTAGGGGCAAGTTATCAGTGACGCATGGAGGACTCTCTGGGCTAGGAAGGGACTTTCAGGCCACAGTGTTCTCACAAGTTCTAAGAAGTCATTCACAGTGAGAGGGACCACATTCGAAGAGGATTGACAGTTTAGACTGAAAACAGCTTTCAAAGAGACTAATCTTATAAAGTATTGCAAATGAATAAGGGCAACAGGAGTAGGTGTTCACCTGCCAGTCTCCGCCGTGCAAGATGAGAGCCTGTCTGTACGCACACATGCGCTGACTTAAAAAAAAATCATATAAAAAACAACATCTTTGCTACGGAGTCGTTTTTAACAAGTATTACAGAAAGAGCACCAGCTACCAAAAAGAGTTGCCAGGGCCAGAAGGAGCCATCAATCGAAACAGTTTACATTTCAAAGTTTTTCCAAGAAGAGTGAAAACGTCTCCTCTCCTTGATGGAAAACGGAGGAGCTGTAGTAAAGAATCTATTTGCTGCCTTCCCAGTCAAGTTTCTTTCTCTAGAGTGGCCCTTTAACCCTTAGGTTGAGGCCAACAGGTAGAGATAAAAAGGAATGTTTGCATCTTCTGCTTGTGCTCTGAGCAGCTTACTAGGCTGTAGAGTCAGGATAAAAAATCCTCTTTCTTTTGTGAGTTTCATTGTTCAGAAATGAGTCTTTTTGCTCTTGGGCACTACTGGAGATAAACAGGTCATTTTGACTTTTACACTCTGTACTTCCTGACATCACTAACAATTATACACATCAGTCTTGGAATGTGTTTTTCTCCTCAAAGTATTTCAGGAATTGACTCTTTCTTTTCTCCGCTTCATTTACAACCTAGGAAATTAATGCTAACCATGCTACATTTTAACCAGAATGTATATTTGTTTATCTCTTTTAAAATTTTTTATTTGAAAGAAAAAAATTTGGCCCTAGGTGAAAAAGCATTTCTTAAAATCAGGAACAGTTTTCTATAAGATGTATAATCCAGATGTATACTTTTGTTTTTAGCTTTTAATTTTCTGCTTAATTTTTGCCTTATTTCTAAACACCAAATTTGATTTCCTGAATCCATTAGGATAAATTCTACATACCTCATTCTTACTTCTAGAAGCATGTCAAATGGAAGCACTAATCTAAGAAAAAAATTTGATTTCACAATTAAGACTTGGGAAAGAAAACAACAACAGACACTGGGACCCCTTTGTCATGAACTTGTCCCATAAAAATAGTTATTTGCGCTTCTCCCTCCCCTTACTCCAATAATCCCATCACTGGATTCTTTGTTACCCCATCTCTTTGACCAACAGGCAGTTTGTAGAACCATAATGAAGACTCTGCATCCCTGATGATCATTTTTTCAGATTGCAATGTGACTAGAAAAGGAAAAAAATGAAAGGACCCCCTTCTATTTTTGCACACACATATAAATGCTGTTCATTACGGTTACAAAAATTACAGTCACTTTCTTAGATTGATTTATTGATATAAATGACATGATATCACTGAAAAAATATTGCCAATTTACATATAACATCCTTTATAAATACCATTGGTTCTCAGTGAACTCCTCCTGACCTCCTGGTCTGAGACTGTCTCTATGTGATGTACATAATTCTCTCAACACTGATCCATTACTTCTTCTCAGTGTTGGGGGTTAGGCCAATAGTGTAAAGTCACAGATAATTAGCAGCCCTATCAATAACCAGTTACAGAATTTCTGCCTAAGTGACAGGCCAGAAAAGCCAAAAAAGGAGGTAGCAATATAAAGTAGAAGGGAAGTGCCGATATATTTTGTGGTTCAAGCAGCTGCTATGGACTATCAGCATCACCAGGAGACCTCACTGCATTAGCATAAATTCAAATGACAAATGCACAGTGCTATTCAGAGACTCATTAATTTGCAATGGGTGCAGTGCTCATGACATATTAGTGCAAAATTCAAATGTCTTTGTAGCAATGTGAATTTAGTTGTGAGACCAAAGTCGCTAAAATGAAAATGTGTGGTTTTTTTAGCAGTTTATTAAATTATGAACTGTGATGACTATATCCGTGCATCTTTTTAAGCAGATGAGGTCCAGCGTGCTCCAGCGGCAAATCGCATGGTTTGTGTTGATATTTTCCTGTCAGACAATTTCCCAAGCAGCAGATAAGATACCAGACTGTCTGCCTTGCTCCGCTGCATGCGGACTGAGAGCTCCCCCTTCTGGACAAATGACATTGCCACTCTAAAAGAAAACCCAGCCATTTTTTGTCTTGTTTTCATATTTTTAAAAGGTTTTCAGGCAAAGAATTTCGGTGTCCACCTAAAGCCAAAAGAAAACAATTTGCAATTATTTATTATAAGTGACAGTACATGATAACTGTCTTCAAAATACTGAAGAGTCACCCTCAATTGAAATGCATCATATAATTTTATATGAAGCTTCTTCAAGACCTCACTTGCAAATATATTTTTTAAAATAGCTGCCTGATTTATATAAACCAAGAATATAAGCTACAAAAATAATAAAAACTATCATATTCATATTGCTTCCACAATATCATAAACAAGCTTACAATTACTAGCATTCTATTGTATAAGAAAAAAGCAAGAACATACACGGCTAGAGGCTTTTAAACAAAGCAACCAAGTGTATATTGTATTCAACTCTATTGAATGAAATTATGAACAGACCCAGACAAGGAAAGTCAGATCATACCCATGTCACATGTGTGTGGTGTGTTGTGTGTGCATTTTTCTCTTTAACATCAGGAATCTTCTGTCCAGTTACTTCACATTAGTCAAAGCAGATTTATCATTGGTGTGTCTTTTAAAAATTGGCATGTTTTTTACATTTAAATAATGACTCAGATTAGTACAATAATGGGATGAAGAAGGTTAATTTGTCTGCAGTATTAACATTACAAAAATACACAAGATGTCAGCACCTGCACTTCTCAGTACCCAGGGTTCATAGCCACTTAGAGCAGACCTGCATCCCAGTTTATATGATCTAAATATTCATGTTCACATCTAATACTAACAAAAACATACATATAGCATTTTTCAGTAAAGCTATAGCTTCCCAAACCATGTAACATACCTCTGAATGAATTGAAAAACATGTTGCACTTCGAAAGTTACTTTTAGGAGAATAGAAAATCTTACAGTAAAAGATTTGCCCTTTGGCCATTTGAGCCAACTAATCTCCATCAGAGTACTAGAAGTGTGTTTCAGCAGATCTTTAGTAAAATTTATGTTTATCATTTTTTAACTTTAAATATGTTACTGAATGTAAAAAGGGGTCACATCACTCTATTACTGCTTATAGACTTAATTACATACTTTCTGAGCATTATTTCGGCTTATGATGAATTTGGGAGGAAGGTCTTCTAATGAAAGTTGTGTACTTTTGAATTACACTTTATAATATCACTGATGCTTTATATCATCTTCAGCAATTAAAAGTAAGATCACTGTTATCTATTCTACTTATTTGCAATTGAAGTGGTCTTGAGTTATTTAGCAGGCTCATTTTATTTTACAGTAACAGCTACAAGGAAGACACAGAATTAATGAGGATTGAGAAGGATCACTGTACTGTACATTAAACATGTGGAAGTTGTATATAACTGAGCAATATCAGATTTATCACTGTAGCCAGATGTCTAGGCATTGTTTTTCCCTAATGAATTTTCTTTCACCAAGTAATTAGAATCCCAGATTTACAGAATGTTAGAACTGGAAGAGCCATTGTTGATCATCTCCCACTTTATGGATGGGAGAACCAAAGGTTCAGAAAAGTTAAGTGAATTTACCAAGACCTAATGGTTAGAAAATGGCAGAACTGAAACAAGAACCCTGCTCTCTAGACATCCTTTCCCAAACTTGAGCTCACAAGCCCAGAGGGCCTGTAAAAACACAGATTGCTGAGCATATTTCCAGGGTTCCTGATTCCGTAGGGCTTCAGTAGGCCCTACTGATTTGCATTTTTATCAAGTTCTAGGCAATGTTATGCTTGCTTGTCCAGGGACCATGCTTTGAGAACTATCGGTCTCTAAACCAGTTTTTGAAAAAACTGCTGGCATTTTATTTCTAATAGCTTTTCTCTTGATGAAGAAAGCAAACTCAGGCTAATACTTGCCACATTACTTTGTTGTCATCTCTCTAATAGAGGGTTCGGGTAATACATTATGAAAAGTCTGGAAGTTTGCAGAAAAACAATAACAAAAAGGCACCCTGATTAAGGCATCTGGGGGCACTAAAAATAAAATAATGTCTGAGCTTCAGTTTTTTTAAATCATAACAGAGTGTAGTTAGAAGCCAAATATAGGAAAGATGGCCTTGTTTTCTGGTCCCTTCCCCCACTAGCCAACAACATTTAGACAACATAGAAGTTTACCCTTTTAGTCTCTAAAATAAAATAGCATTCACAGACTTAATTAATCAAGGTACCATTCATCATTGTCTATATAGTATTCACAAATTTACATACTAAGAGCCAGAAAGAAAGAGCCCCTGTGTAAACGAACTTGAACTCATCCGTGCCTGAATCACCGACTCAGAAGAACAGGAGCATGTTCAAGAGGAACTTCGCCAGGGCACGTGCTGGTTCTTAAGCCCACAACACAGAATTCAACAAACCTGTTCAGCAGTCTGGTCGCACAGTTGTAATATAATTTCATTTTTTCCTGGTTCAAAGAATGACCGTGATGAAGATGATCGTCAAAATACAAATATATATATACATATTTAATTTTTTAAAAATAGTATCAATTTGGAAAATGAAAATGACTGATGGTGAAAAAAGATTTTAATTATATACATAAACCTTGATGTTCTTGTGTTTTTTCTCCCATTTTTATTGAAGTACAGTATAATTACTTCTTTTTACATAAGACTTTAAGGTAAATTATCTTTTGTCAGTTTTCTAGAAAAATTTGATTTCATATTATGGCTTGATCTCAATTGATGCTATCAATTAAATGGCATTTTTCCTGAACATTAAGGGTGACTTCCCCTAAGTAACATCCCTGTTTTGGGTTTTTTTTGCTAAGTTATTACATTAAAATCTGATTCAATATATTATTTAAACTTTCACAGAAAATAATCTTTTCATTTAAAAATAATTTTCAAATATAAATGGTTTCCAAGCAGATTTTACTGTGCTTTTGCCTTATACTTATTTTTCTACCATTATCCCTGTTTTTCAGAAAAGCCAACCCAATCACAGAAAAACTAACATAGGTTTTGCTGTGATTGCAGGTGCATCCAGTGTGTTCCTGGGCTTACTTCATGCCTAAACCAACATTTTGTGTTCACTGTTATTTCTTCTAGGCCCTCCATTAATAGCCTCCTAATCCCAACATCTTTTGCCATTCTAGGCGCTTCCTTTCTCATTTCTTTTTCAGGTTCTGCCTACGAAAACCCTTTAATGGCTTGACATTTCTGAATTATAGCAAAAAAAATGTATTTCGCTCTGTGTAAATTAAACTGAATTATTTAGTGTTTTAATCATAATTTTTAAAAAATTATGAGTGGCAAACAGGGAATTAGTTTGTTCAGAACAAAAGCCTATGATAACATCATTCTTTTTTCAGGACAATAGAATACTATTTATTAAAAACAAACAAAAAAAAAACCCTAAATTCTGTCCTTTAAAAACAGTGTTAAGTGTGATCAAATATTGTGACTCAGAGGTTACCTGACAAAAAAAAACGTAATATTAATGTAAACAGCTAAAAACTAACCTCCTGTGAATACTAAAGCAAATAAATTATAATCTATTATTTCAGGTTTTCTGTTCTACAACTGCATTTTTATTTATACCTTTTCATTTCAAATGTATGTGCATAAAGTATTTTTATCCCTCAGTAAAAATAAAGCTAGATATTTTCTGGTAAACAGGTAAAACAGCAACTCTGTTTTACCTGTTTCTAAAATCTTCTCTCTGATGTTTTCATCACGGGTATCTTACATAGACTCTAGAAATGCAAAGGCAATACAAATGGTACGTAAGAACCTCCATTAATCTTTGTTTCAAGGAGAATGTGAACATTCTCTGTACAATTTAATATTCCGTGTCCACCCACAAAATTCTACAGAGAAGTGTGTGTGTGTGTGTGTGTGTGTGTGTGTGTGTGTGAGAGAGAGAGAGAGAGAGGGAGAGAATCGGTAAGTTTGATTTTAGTAGGAAATTAGTAAAATATGCATATTACAAATAAAGAGAGTACAAGTCCCCATCTGCCATTTATAGTAAGATTTTATATTTCAGAGCTTAATAATGAACCTCCCTGGGGAAAATTTAATAAAGCAGGTTCCCTGGTATTGCCAGCAGTTGGGTTTTTCTGCATCTCTTATTTTCTTACTCCCCAGGGGGAAAAAAATCTCAGTAAGATTTGTGAGCCTGTATCGAAGATAAATCTAGTGTAGTCTGGACTATACACCACCCAAACTGATCCAGATCTCCCACCCAACCCACTGTTCGTTACTGTTTATAAAGTGCAACATGCCCTGTGAAATGATAGGTTGGAGCATTCTCTATCTGTCCTTACCACAAGAAGTACAAAACCAGTTTAGAGTAACTGGAAATTGCAGTTTCAAATTTAAAGAAACACCAGTTATGTATAGGGTGGGTTAGGGATGGGGGTAGTTCTTAACTGTTCTTTTCTCCTACAGAACACTGAGCGTCTAAAACATGTTCAATCCTGTTAATGCTTGTCAAAAATTTCACAGTTCAGCTTTGTTCAGATTTTTTACTGACTATGAAAAATCAATTTGGTGGGATTCAGATTCATAAAGATGGAAGAGCTGCAAGAGACCTTAAATAACCTTGTTCTACCAAGTCTATAGGTAAAAACTGAGTCCCAAGGAAATTAAGGGACTTGCTCAAGGTTTCACATGTCCAGATTGGAACTCAAGTCTGCAGGCGTCCAGTCTATCATCCTTCCCACTGCTCATTTCATCTATTATTATACTTTAGTAATTAAACAATTTAGAGAAGCTATACAATGTGATTTCACAATTAACATAAAGCAGTCATATTATATCCAGGGTTGTGTAGAATTTCATCTGTGCAAAATTTCACTTGGTATTTAGTCATTACACTCAAATAGTATCATTATCTTTCAATTACAGAGATCAATTTTAGTTCATTAGCAAAATAAAATGCTTGCAGAAGGTCCACACAAATTCTTCAAAGCTGCAATCTTCTAAATGTCAGAATTGAAACACATTTTATAAAAAAAAACAAAATGTGACAAAAGTACTTGAGGTTAAACCACAGCTGTGCAAGACTCAGTGCCCTGCGTGATCATAAATCTGCTAAAAAGGCATAATTCAAAGTTCTGTAAAGGAAAATGTGTGCCATTGCCAACTAATAATATTGCCATTTTCCCCATTTCTTGGATTTTGCAGCTTTTCAAGAAAGATTTGGGTCATAGGATATTGTGACACAAATAAAGTATTATGAGTACAGATTCAACCTAAGATGACCTAGAGGCTGCATAAAGGGAAGATTAGATTAATGTTTAAGCCTTGCAAGAGGATTACTATCTATAGGCAAAAACAATGGCCCAAACAATATAGCTATTAGAAATGATGGTAACCTTATCAGGCTTTCTAAACTGAGAGCCTTAATTGCTATCCAGACAAACCCCAGTCAGCTAAACAGAGCTACCAGCAAAGGGGCAATATTATCAAGTTTAAGTTGATGCTAATATCCTTTTGATAAATCTGTGTTGATATAACTTGGGAGAAGTTATTTACAAAATATATATAAAGTTGTTGCTCCTTAATATGTTTAATTATTGTGAGGTTATCATACTAGAGTTTCTAAGATTATATCGATATTTCAGGTTTAACTTGTTAGAATATGTAAACCAAAACTACAGCCTTTGTTTTTCCAACATATTTTTATACTGTTGTACTTTTTTCTAAAGAAGGAAGTGATGATTTGCTCATACTATGATGTGGCCACACTGATATCACAGCTAATGATCCTTGTGGCACAAATTAAGTTTGCAATAAATGAGATTCTTTTTCTACTAATATGATCAGAAATTTAATACCCAAAAAGATGAAAGGTTTTCAATTTTACCTTTGTACATAACCCTTTTCAACATAAGTAAACTCTTCATAAATTTTGTTATGAAATTTAAATAATACATAGTCTTCTTTGTGATTACTTGTTTCATGGAACCCAAACCCTAAAATTCTCAATTACTAGAAATTCAAGAAGTTTATCATGTTAAACAGTTTACTAATACAGTAGAAAGATTAGAAATATCATTTTGTGCCATACCAACCAAGGGTAGTGGTATTCAGCGAGCCTGGATGGTAAGTAAAGCAGGCAAGCAAGTAAATAGAAATTAGGGGTGCACTGAGAGTTGTCCCATAAACATAAGTGAAGGCTAGGGAATAAGTCAAGAGAACAGAAATGGCCTTTCTTAAAAAATGGATCATGTTAGGCACAGTGGTTCATGCCTGTAATCCCAATGCTTTGGAGACTGAGGCAGGAGGATCACTTGAAGCCATGAGTTCAAGACCAGCCTGGGCAACATAGCAAGACCCTGTCTCTACAAAAAAAAATTTAATTAGCCAGGCATGGTGTTGCACACCTATAGTCCTAGCTAATAGGGAGGTTGAGATGAGATCACTTGAGCCCATGAGTTTCAGGGCTGCAGTGAGCTATATGATCATGCCACTGTATTCCAGCCTGGATGGCAGAGTAAGACCTAATTTCTTTTATTTCTTTAAAAAAAAAAAATGAAGCCTGGTCTAGCAACTAAACTCTTGAGGCAAAAATTAAATATTCTCATTTAATGGGAGGGAAAGATGGACAGGTAATTGTGAGATTATCAATAAGTGTGCACTGAAAGAGCATTGTACCCAGCAATCAAGTCTCCAAGGAAAAGAACTGTGTGTGTGTGTGTGTGATTGAGAGGGCAGGGGGAGGCACTGAGGAATATCCAGAGCTATGCCTGCCTTTGAGGGATTGAAGTCATCCTGTTTTGAAGGACCACTTGAGTGAGCCCCAGGAAAGTTTTCTGCTGCATAGACTAACAGATGGAGGAAGGCCAGAGCTCAATAACAGCAGAACACATCAGTGAAAAGCAAACTAACTGATGGCAGTCCAGTCACAAAGCTGACACAAGGCTCATCTGTGCTTGGAAGTACTGTTGGAGAAGGGCTTCCTCTGGGTTTGTAAAATCCCTTAAATTCTTAGACAATCTTGGAAACAGACTGGCCCCCTAAGTATGCAATACTATACTTCTGGCCAGCATGGCATGTGGAGGCTTAAGCCAATCCTACTTTAACCTAGCAAAGGAAAAACTGTGTGACTGTCCTTGCATGCAGAGCCTGGGGACTGCTTTATCCCAATTACATAAATACTTTGTTGTGTTGTTGTCTCTTCTGTTTTAAAAATACCACTACTGAAGGTAACTGCTACCTGTGCAGATGAAATGTACAATAAAATGTACAATGAAAACCCCATTGTACAGCTCTCAATCCATTTTACATTTTTACCTGCACACCTAGTCATTTGGATTATGATATTTACAACTAAATGCTTTATACAAAAAAAAACCCTAGTATTGTTGATACTCTTGATCGTACACTTTATTTCATAAACAAATCCATGATATTAGGAATGCTGATGGTGAAATTGTCCTTAATGTTGCTATTATTTAGAAATTTTCAGAAACGTCCTATCGTTTCATGATATGTTTCTCAATGTCCTGCGTTGTTCACTTATATTCATCTTTTACAAAGAAAACAGAATTAAGGGAAATGCTTAGAGATATATAGGTTGTCTTAATTTAACTCACAGATTTTTTAAAAATTCAAGCCTGGGGTTTAGAAAACAGGAGTAACTAGGAATGAAGCTCTCCATCAACAAAAACTTGGAGTGAAAAATAACAGGCTATCTTGAATAGCTTGGATATTCCATTTAAGGCCAAGAGCCTAGGAAAAAAAAACTCCTTTTAAAATTATTCCAGTTTTTGATTTCTCAAATGACACATTTATGTACTTGCATTAAACAGCAAACATTACAAAGAACTCTAAATTATCAGTTGGTCACCCTAATGAAAATCCAAATCAGTTCCCAAGGGTAAGCACTGTTACCAGTTACTGGTGTATTCGTCTAAACTATTTCCTATATACTTACAAAGATACATAGAATAAGTGCATAGTTGCCTTTATATATACAATTAGTACATGAAAATATGGTATTATTTGTTTGGTTTACATGAACAGAGAGAAGATATCTTTTAATTCTAAGAGTACATAAATTAATTATACTGAGAAAAATGAAACATTTTTTGCAATTATTGGCCTAGAAACTAGCACTGAATTTTGCTTCTGAAATAGCATATTAGCAGGAGCCTCTTCTACCTAAGGAGGAAAAATCTGCTTTAATAGCCCTTTCATATCCCTCATAGCCCAGTGACAGACAGCATATATTTAGCTTCACTCTCTTCCGCAAAACTGAAATGTTCTGCTCAGATTTTGTTATAAAACTTGTACCTGATGAACCTCAAGGCAAGTTGTGGAATCACATACCATTTTTGTCCAGCAACCCACTTTACTCATCTTTTATTGTCATTGCTTATTAAATTTGCAACACACACACATATATTCATACACACATAGAGAAAATTAAACCCTACACTTCTTCCCTTGAGAGAGGAAAGGAAAGAAAAACAGGAAAGTCAATATTCAATATTTGCTGTGGTTAAGTATATATATATGTATATGTTTATATATATATATATATATATATATGTTTCCCCTTGGAGGTTGCTGGATAGAGGATGGGTTTACAAAAAGTTTAAATAAATGATGAGTTCCTCTAAGACCTCCAGAGACTTCACATTTTTTAACTCTAATATTTGGGGGCTGTTCGATTTGATGTTTGATTTGAAATGAAAAGGTTTAAATAAATGCTTGGAAAGTATACTGGATGGCAGTATTTAGCAATCTTGTTTTCTTTACATAATGTAACACACTAATGGACTACATTTTTCTTTGCTTTCTGCCGTTAACTTTGAAAATAAGCAAGTTACTATCCAAATCAGAGCCAAAAACACCACAGGGTTTCTGGCTGCGAAGGGACACTTCATGCACAAATGTGGGAAAGGAAAAAGTTGATAAACAGCCAGTTGGGAAGTGTGAAGAGATTATTTTTATTTCATGGTGTTTTCAGTGTGTAGTATCTCAGATGTTCAAAAATATATCACTATGCCTGAAAGTTTACAATTCCCATGGTAGATATTATCTGATGTAGTAGCAGATGAAATACTTATAATGGGGACACTCTCCCTCAACCTCTCCCTCTCTTTTCTTCTCTCCACTCCAAATCTAACACAGTTAAAATAAAGCTTCATGGAAGTCAAGCTTAGGCACACTGGGATTTTAATGAATGAGTCCATGAGATGCAGCTCTTAAAAACAGATGCTGTCCCTCTGCTGCTGTTCTCTCTTCTTGGTTATTTTTATTTCTTTCCCAGTCAAAGAGGCTGGTACGTCAGGATGATTTTCCTTTGCTAACCATCCTTTTTCCAACATTTAACACCAAAGTATTATGTTCAGACCTCAAGGTTTACAATGATAGTGTTTGAATAAAACTGGTGGGAAAAAAACTTGAACAAATTACAATTTGCATTCTATTGTTGATTCTGTAGAATTTTAAAATGTATATATAAATATACATAGGAGAGTAAACACACACATACAATCAGACCACACTGGGTCTCTAAAATAATCAAGATTAATTATCTGATCAAAGTGCCAACCTATAACCTTTCTGTGAGGTTTCTAGTGCATGTTGCACATTTTCTTTTACATGAAACATTGCCTGCACTAGTCTTGCTCATTAGTTCATTCCTCTCATTGTCATTGCCTCTAATTATTTTATTAATTATGATCTTGACTTTAATATTTATAGATCATGCCAGTTTTATAACACAGGAAATGTTTGAAATTAAATAAAGAAAAATTGGAATTTCTTTAATTTAATCAATAAAGGTGTATCACTTGGGAGCATAAATGGGAAGTTAATTTGTTTCACAAAATAAATGTCACAATAATGGAAAGACAAAAATTTTAAATAAAATTCTCTGAATAGAGGATAAAGTAAAGAATATTTTCCTCTGATGTCCTGTAATAAATGAGCATGGAAATATAATCAATTGGCCCTGGTATAATCATGATTATAAATTGTGTTTTTTAATGTGCTCCAATATTTTGTATATATGCATCCCCCAAAAAAGCTATTTAAATTAAGCAAAGAAATTTATCATATACGAGCTAAAAAGTATACACATGTATAGAATGTTTTCTGTTGATAAGTAATAAATCTGTTGAATGAACATTCCAAAAGGCAGAAAATTTTTGTGAAACTAGGAAACAATTAAAAACCACCATTTAACATAATGGGTGGCAATTGCACGGATAACTCCCCCAGGTATTCCATGCCCACTCATTAGTTGAAAAGCAAAAAAAAAAAACACCCAGGATACATCTTGTTTCTTGGACCCTTCATCCAAAAGAAACCAAAGCAAATTACAGTATTTCCAATTTAATTTGGAAGCTAGTCAACCCTCTGTTTAAACTTCTGAAATAATATTGGTAAAATAGTCAGAATCACAGACTCCTATCTGCTAGCTTTCCAATGACATGTGGTTCTTCTGTTCCTATGCAAAGAAGGGATTTATTTCTAGTAAATAAGCTATTTCGTGGGAAAAAATAAACACAATTTCGTAAAGATAGGAATATTGCATAGTAGGAGACAAAGAAAAAAGCAGTGTGTTTATATCATATGTTTTAAAGTAGTTTCTTTTTAAATTAGCAATTTCATATCAAAAACAGGAAAATAACACATTCATAAGATATGGAAAAATCAGCTTCTGAGGAATAGTAGTATTTGGCAAATACAAAATAAAAAATACTGTAATGTCTGCTTTTGTAAATGTTGAAGATTAGTAAACTCAAGATAAACTTCAGAAATGAGAGAGACTCAGTAGCACTAAGAGAAATATAGGACCCAGAGAAAAATCTTAACAAAACTTCCTGCCCATTTTCCTTCTTAGTTTTACTGAATAAACAAATCCATTGGTGGAGTAAGGAGCTGGATGTTAATGCTTCCTCCTTTAGTCTGCCTAGTTTAGGAGTAGGCAAACAAGTGTTAGAAAATCTCTGAGCCTCAACCTTTTAAGGAAATGGTTCTCAGCATCGATAAAACACCCACAACTGCCTCTCTTTCACGACCTCCTTGAGAATACCCTTAAAGGTATCCTGCTCATAAAACTAATTCCATGGTTCCTCAAAAAGTTTAACATATGACCCAGCAATTGCAGTCCTAGGGATATGTCCCAAAGAATTGAAGACAGGATTTGAAACAAAAATTTTTACATGAATGTTCATAACAGCACTATTCAAAAGTGTCAAAAGGTGGAAACAACCCAAATACCCATCAACAGATGAATGGATAAACAAAATGTGGTATATCCATACAATTATTCACCTGTAGAAAGTAATGAAATATTGATAAACAACATGGATGAACTCTGAAAGCATTATGCTAAGGGAAGAAGTCAGACACAAAGGCCACATATTGAATGATTTCTTTCATATGTTATACACAGAATAGGCAAATCCACAGAGACAGCAAACAGTTCAGTGGTTGCCAGGGGCTAAGGAGAGGAAGGAACTAGGGAGTGATTGCTTAATGGATATGAGGTTTCCTTTTAAGTTAATAAAAATTTTCTGGGCTGGGCACCATGGCTCATGCCTATATAATCCCAGCACTTTAGGAGGCCAAAGTGGGAGGATTGCTTGAGCCCAGAAGTTTGAGACCAACCTACAAAAATTTTAAAATGTAACCAGGCCTGGTGGCACCAAAATGTGGTATGTGGTCAACTGGTGGTACATGAAACCACTTTAAGTGGTAAACAGCAAACATTAATTTTTTTTATCTATCATGTCAAATTTGTAATTTTGGAAGTGAAAAATACTTGTTTTAAAATAAATTTACTTAGGTAAAAGTTTTAATTGACTTAAAGAAAACAATTAAGCAGGCCAGGTGTGGTGGTTCATGCCCATAATCCCAGCACTTTGAGAGGCTGAGGTGGGAGGACTTTTGGACCCAGGAGTTCAAGGCCAGCCTGGGCAATATAGCAAGACCCCATTCCACAAAAATAAAAATAAAAAAATAGCCAGGTGTGGAGGCATGCACCTGTAGTCCCAGCTACTTCGGAAGTGAGGAGAGAGGATTGTTTGAGCCCAGGAGGTCAAGACTGTAGTAAACCATGACTGTGCCATTGCATTGCAGCCTGGGTGACAGAGTGCGACCGTGTCTCAAAAAAAAAAAAAAAAGTTCTGTACCAACATCGGTACTGATGGTTGCACAGCATTGTGCATGTACTAAAAGCCACTGAATTGTATGCTTTATAATGGTTAAAATGGTGAATTTTATATGTAAATTTTACCCCAAGTCCAAAAAAAAACCTAATTCTAGCACACACGACCTGGCCCAGAGCCTTCAGGGTTGATGTGCCTGGCCAAGAGAACTAACGACCCTGGCAGGTAAGACTCCTTGCATCAGTCCTACAAGGTGCACTGTCTTTAAGTTGGGTAAAATTTCTGCAGCAATGCCTCGATGCTCAAGTTTACTCTTTTAAAATTTGGCAGTTATGGTCCCAAAGATAAAAACTCCAATGTGTTAAACAGTAGGCATTTTCAAGAAATCTGGATTTTAGAATATTCTTTCCAAGTTCAGGACCTACTTTTAGCTCTTTGGCCATTAGACAAAAGAAATTTTAAAGCGAAAATAATCAATGACTTCCTTCTAGGGTATCCATCTAATCAGTTTCCTGGAAGACTTTTACTTTACATCTATTACCTTACTGTAATTATTAATAGTGTGCCTACCACTCTCAACTGTCTCAGTCTGGATGATCAATTATACAGTCTCCCTACTTCGAGGGGACCACTGTAAAGCTTCCCTATCTTTTCTATCCAACAGGAATCTTATTTGTGCCAGCTTTGACCCAGTTATCTGGCAAGCTAGATGGGATTTGTCTTAATATGTGCATTCTGTTTGCCAAGGCATACATAGCATGTTTGGACACATGGTCTCATTTTATAATCTTTTGCTCTTATTTATTCTTCATACTCTATGGTAGAGCTAATCATTTGTGGGAACCAAAATGTTAGGAATAGATGGCATGTCAAATGTTGCCATAGCAGACTTTTCTATGGGACATACTTTTAAAAATAATCCAAAAAAAAGTTTTAAACTTAATTTGAGTAGCCCCTGGTGTTATTGAATGGTAGTGTGTGAAGTAAATCTGGGTGAAATTTCACTCACATCTACTTTCTGGGATCAAGTCCTATAGATAATTCCATAGTTATCTCCCTATACTTATGAACATCCCTCTAGGTAAAAAGCAGTCATCTTAAAAAAAAAAAAAAAAAACCTACGCATAGTCTCAAAATTTATCTTCATACAAGATTAGATCAGAGAAGTAAGTGGGCTGAGAAGACTGAAATGGGCTGAGAGGTTTTCAAAATAGATTGCCATTGAACACATCAAATTTAATACATTCCTCATTCCTCTTAAATAGCGCTGTCTGCTTCTTATATCCTACATCTAGAAATTGCTTACTTCTAGAAATTTGGTGGCATAATGGTGGCATACTTCAGGATTTGACCATCAAAGTCATCCCAGGCAAAAATTACTCAGGCAATACTTTAGTTGGGCTACTTTGATTACAACAGAGGCTCACACGAGCCTTCTTAAGAGAAGGGAAGTTTACTGTGAAATTACCCACAGGCTTAAAGAACCACTTAATGGCTACATCAGCCTCTCCCGGGGTAGGTGGTCATAATTACTGCTCTCCTTTGCTTATTCAAAATGTATGCTTCCTCAACACTTTGGTTTCCTATGGCTCACCATGGTGCCAGCTTTACACCATAGCATCCTCTCAGCTTCAGCTCCTACTTCTTTCCATTTAGTTCAGATAAGTAAAGGAGAATCTGATTGGTCCAACTCATCGCATTTCTGCCCTTGTTTCAGATTAATCATCCCTTTTCCATCCCCCCAACCAAGTTAAACTGTTTTGGCCAAAGAAGAAAGGCCGGTTATGTAATACAGTTAAAATCCCTATCACCTCCCTATCATCAGAGGTTTTAAGCAAGATAAACTTCAAAACTGAGAGGGCCTCAGTAGCACCAAGAGAAGTGTAGGACCCAGACAAAATACTTAACCAGAAGTTCCTGCCAAATTTCCTACTTTGTTTTACTGAACAAATAAATCCGTTGGTGGAGTTAGGGTTCAGAATGCGAGATTCGGCATGCCTAGCTGGGGCAGTTAGGCCTTCGTATTTTCCTCTCACGCATTTCAGTCCATCTCCATGAAAAAGTAGTTCCGTAAAACTGCCCTTCCATTCCATTCCAATTCTGGCTTCAACCTTCCCTGGATCTCATTCTCATTAACAATTACTTTTAACTAGATATCAAATATTTCCAACATAAATTGTTAACTAGTGACAACATGATGCTACTTCCAGGAAATTAGGAGATTAATCTCTTCTCCTGTTTCTCAGACCTTCATCTTCCAAAATGTTTATTGGGAACATAGAAAGAGAACAAAAGATAGCCCAAACATGCATCTCTAATGATACACATGCCTTTATCCTCCGTACTCACTCTGACGCTTCCCTGTGCTTATTTCACGTCACTCTCCTGAACCTTGACTGCTGGCATGATTACATTTAAATTAGCAACTCCTAACAGCTAATGCCAATATAGTCGTAACCTATCAGTACTATTAAAGAAACATTTAGGAACAGGAATTTCTGCCAAGCACCCCAATTACATCATATTTTTATTTACTAGGTCAGCTCAGGATTTTCTTGCTTTTCCATTTAATTCAAATCAATGCCTAATCAAAACACATTATGATTTATGTATATATTTCCATGACACTGCTTCAAAGCACAAAGCTTATGTAATAAAGTCTGATTTTTGGAAAGTATTTTTTAAATTACAAGCATGAAAGTGCGTATTTTGAAAAACCTTTCTGCAGAAATGAAGGCCAGCCAGCTAGGGATAAAACATTGTAGATCTTTGCTGCACAGTGAGAATAGCAGTTTCTACAAAATTTTAAAAGTTGAATAATACTTACTAAAAGACAACATAGCACAATATAGTACTATAGAAAATGTATTTCTTTAATAAAAGCTATCTCCTTGTCCTCAGAGTGCCTATAATATGTTGATGGGTCCTCAGTATTATCATCCTTGTTCGGGTTCTGAAGTTTTCAATTGAATAACTTTTTCAGAGACTTGGGGAAAATAGTGAGCGAACAGCCCTAGAACGCTTCTCTGGGCAGAAAAAAAAAAAATCCCATGAAATGTAATGTGTTAAGAAAATATCTTTCTTATCTCTCTAGTACCCCAAGCGAGCCTGTCTAATTCTCCCACTTGTCTGTGTAGGGATCATGCCAGCAGCCAAGGTTCAGGAGAGTGATGTGGAATAAGCACAGGGAAGTGTCAGAGTGAGTACAGAAGATAAAGGCACACCTATCATTAGAGATGTATGTTTGGGCTATCTTTTGTTCTCTATGTTCCCAGTAAACATCATTTTGGAAGATGAAGGTCTGAGAAATAGGAGAAGAGATTAAAGATGTCAGGCAAGGGAAAGGAGGAGAAGCAGATAAAAAAACTGACATCCCAGAAGGTGGGGATTTTCCCTTTTCTGGGAAGCAAAAAAAAAAAAAAATCCTCTCAAGCAAATTTAACACCTTCATGAATATAATTAATTTATTATCACTTAAAATAAAACATAGCAATAAAAACTCAGGCTAATCATGTGCAAAAGTTACTGTTTTCAGACACAGACCATGCAAAGTCCTCAAGCTTATAAAAGATTACATTCTGGAACATGAGCTATCAGATAAAATTACTGGATCTTGATTTTTTAATGTTATAAAGGGGCAGTGGGGCGGGGGGGCAGAGGTGCATGTTCTTGCCTAAAGCCTAACATTAAACATTTTGTAAGCAAAGCAGAAAAGAGCTCTTTAGTACCCCCAAAATGTCTGTTTTAGACTTGTACAGATAAAAACTTTCTAAAATATTGAACAGCACAAAGTATGAATCCCAGCTCTATAATTTTTCTAGCTATGTGACCTCAGGCAAGTTATCCTCTCAGACTCAGTTTCCCGAATTATAAAAATGGAATAATAATGGCACCTATCTCATGGGGTATTGTAAGAGTTAAATTAGATAACCTATGAAAAGCACTCAGCAATGCCCAGAAAAGTGTATGCGCTCAATAAAGGTTAGTTGTTGTTAGTAGTATTATGTGTAATTATTAATAACCAGGCTCATGTCTTGCCACTCATCCTGTAAACTGCCCTGGTTCATCAAACCACATTGCAGCCCATAAGTCCCAGACAAAAACATCAGATAATGCCATTGTATAGAATCCTACATATTTATTCCTGACATCATTCTAATTCAGTCACTCCTCTTCACTCCTCCACCTGACTTGAATCATGCAGACAGCTTCCAACCACCCCCATGTGCCTTCTTCATTTTATTTATTTATTTTTATTTATTATTACTTTTTTATAGACAGCGTCTCACTAATGTTGCCCAGGCTGGTTTTGAACTCCTTGGTTCAAACAATTCTCCCACCTCAGCCTCCAGGGTAGCTGGGACTGAAAGTGCCTATTACCACTCCTGACTCCATGTGCCCTCTTTAGCTCCAGCCCCCATTCTGGCCTCCATCACTTCACTGGGACCTGCTCAAGCTAGCTGTGTTCTCTGTACCAGCCCCACTGCCTCAGTGAAAAGATTAGATCACCTTAATAAATCATCTAAAATTACTTAATACAATCCAGTATAAATGTATAAAATGTAACATCTTCATAATTTCCCCTTAATTCAATTAAATCTTGATTCTTCCCTTACTCCTCTCCAACCAAAACCTGTTCCTTCCTGAGACCTCCTCATTTCAGTAAAAAGCACCTCTAGCACTTCCCCAGAATTCTAAATGTTGATTCTTTTCTTTTCTTACTCCCTAAATTCAATCCATTGGCAAGTTCTATAGTCTCAACTTTAAAATACATCCTGAATCTTTCCCCTTTTATCTCCATTACTAACACCTTTGTCCTTTGTAGAATCAGCATCAGCACAACCTGCGAACATGGGCGCCATCCCACTTGTATTGAATCAGACCCCAGGGGGAAGAAGCAGGTCTATCAGCTTGTTCAGCCCTCCCTTCTGGTGATTCCCATGAACACTTTCATTTAAGAACCACTGCTCCCATCAAAACCACTGCCATTTCTCCCACTGGGAATATCACAATAGCCTTCTGACTCATGTCCCTGACCCGACTCTTTTGCTCCCCAACAATCCATTTTCCACACAGCAGCAAGAATAACATTTTTTCACTTAAAATCCTCCAATGACTTCCTATGTCCATTAAACTAAAATCCATTTTTCTTGCTCTGGCTTACAAATCCCTTCATGAGCTGGCTACATCCTACTTTTCCAACTGCGTCTCTCTCTAGCATCTTTTACGAGCTGGTGACACTGGTCTTCTCTTGCCATTACTTGAACATATTCTGGTTTCTACCACAGGGCCTTGGTAAAAACTTGCTCTTCTGCTGGGATCATTCTTGTCATTGGGATCCCAACTTCAACGTTTGCTCCTCAGAGAGGTCTTCCCATTATGTTATTTAATAAGCAGCTTCTGGGCTCCAATAAGTCATCACAATCAGATAGTCAACATTCATTCTCTAAGTATCACTTACTGTGATCTCATAACTTTCTTATTTGCTAATTTGAGATCTATTATCTTTCTTCTACTAGAATAGTCTAAGAGTAAGGACCTCATTCATTGTATTCACTCTTGTTCACTCAGAAACTACAACATGGCCTGGCACGGTGGTTCACGCCTGTAATCCCTGAACTTTGAAAGGCCGAGCCGAGCAGATCACCTGAGGTCAGGAGTTTGAGACCAGCCTGACCAACATGGTGAGACCCCATCTCTACCAAAAATATAAAAATTAGCTGGGCGTGGTGGCAGGCACCTGTAATCCTAGCTACTTGCAAGGCTGAGGCAGGAGAATTGCTTGAACCCGGGAGGTGGAGGTTGCAGTGAACTAAGATCACGCCACTGCACAGCAACAAGAGTGAGATTCCATCTCAACAACAACAACAACAACAAAAAAAAAGGCAGAAAGTACAACAATCACTGGCATATGTGCACCAAATGTTTAATAAATATTAATATTTAACAATAATTAATAAATAAATTATTTATTGAAATAACTCATTAATTTAAATAAAGCAGCAGAGGAAGAAATATTTTCAGCAGTTTCAGGGAATTTGGAAAGTCTTCTTTAAGAAGACTGTGTCCCGTTACCCTGAAAAGAGGCAGAGTAGGACAATGGATTAAAACTAAGCTTGGAATCAGATCAAGCAGGGTTCAACTCCTAGGTCTACCTCTTACAACACACAAAAAGTATCTCTTTTTTTTAACTTGTTCAACTTCTAAAGCAATTTTTTATCTTTCATTTTTTTTTCATTTGTTTTGTTTTTGGAACAAGGTCTTCCTCTGTCACCCAGGCTGGAGTGGGTGGCATGATCACTGCTCACTGCAGCCTTGGCCTCCCAGACTCAAGTAATTGTCCCACCTCAGCCCCCTAAGTAGCTGAGACTATAGGTGTGTGCTACTGCACCCAGCTAACTTTTTATTTTTTGTAGAGACGAGATCTCACAATGTTGCCCAGGCTTGTCTCAAACTCCTGGACTCAAGAATTCCTCCTGCCTCCGGCTCAACATCTTCCTCTCAGGGTCATTGTTGGGATTAACTAAAATGATGTAACATGGAACATCACATATAGTAGATCTACTCTGTAAATTATACCTTGAAACTTTAAAGAAGATTTGGAGTTCCTTGAAAAATATATGTGTCGTATGACAATATAAATGTAAATCAAAACAAAATAAAGAAATAGTTCACCCTATAATCTTGTTTCCTTCAAAGAAAAAACTATTTCACCTTGTCATTTCCCTTTCACATATACATACAATTTTTTTACATAATGAAAATCTTAAAATGGGTTCAATTTTGTAATTTCTTGCCTTTTTGAAAACCCAATTCAAAATGTCTCCTTTTCTGTCTCTCTCTCTTTTTTTTTTCTCAAGCAGACAAAGTGATCAAGTTGCTGGTTTCTCCTGCCTTTGAAGCCGAAAGTCTTACTACCTTCTTGTACTGCTCTCTACATTAGCAATTTCATCTTGCACTCTGATATTATGAATGTCATGCCTTTAAAATGCATGAACCAACCCTTATTTGCACTAAAAATTCCAAGCCTTTGATCATTCCTCATCCTTTTGCTCAAAAATAACTGCTCCAGGTTTTGACTTGAATAATGGTCAACTCAAAAGCACACATCTCCATGTTTGATCATGAATCTGCAAAATTAAAAGTCTTTGTTCTCATTGGAGCAATGCTGGTAACAGGAAAAGGAGTGAATCCAGGAGGCAGATAGAAGTTGGAAGTCACAGAAATATGATGAGTATCATCATTCTGGAGACAGCCTAAAGTGCATAAGTTGTTGGAGTGCTTGTGGCCACTCTGAGTGTTGTGAAGGGATGACATAGGTACAATAAGGAAACTATTGTAAACTAATAGATTTTGAAAAGTAAATAAGGGAAAGTGAAAGTCTCCAAGTTTACAATCTATCCAAGTAACATTAATTGAATGCTTACTGCATGCCATGCAATGTGATAAATTCTGGAAATATCATGATGATTAAAAATAAATAAGCCAGGCAGGGTAGATCATGCCTGTAATTCCCAGAGCTTTGGTAGACCAAGGCGAGGGGATTGCTTGAGGCCAGGAGTTCGAGACCATCCTGGGCAACATGACGAGACCCTGTCTCGAAAAAAAATTTTAAATTAGCCAGGTGTGGTGGTGCATACGAATAGTCCCAGCTACTCAGAAGGCTGAGGTGGGAGGATCATTTGAACTTAGGAGTTTGAGGTTTCAGTGAGCTATAATTGCAGCACTGCACTCTAGCTGGGGTAACAGACTGAGACTCTGTCTCTAAATAAATAAATAAATAAAACTGAAATCTGAGCATAGTTCCTATTCCCATGGACTTTATAACCTAGTATAGGAAATAACAATGATTCCACTAAACACTTAAGTACACATCAGTTTACGACTGGTATTATCATTGGAAAGAAATGTGTGTAGTATTATAAAATCATGAAAAAATTGGACTTCACCTGAACTTGGGGCTCAAGGAAGGCCTCTCTGAGAAAGGAGTATTTGATCTGAGATCTAAAAGTAGATGTTAACTAGGTAAATGTCTATGAGTTGGGGTTTGGAGGGACTGGGAGTACAGAGCATTCCAGACAGAGAGCACAGCATCCACAAAGGCCCTAAGTCAGAAACAACAAGGCCTGTTGACAGAACTGATAGAAAACCAGTATGACAATGGCTAAAATTGCTCAGAAGGTGAGTCAGAGCACCATGCAAGTCAACGTTGGGATGTGTCTAAATCAGTGATAGAGCTGTAACTCACAAAGTCAGCTGTGAGGATTAAAGAAAGAAAATAAGATAACCTTGGTAAGGAACATAGTACACTGCCTGGCACAAACCAAAGCTATTTGTAAGTGTTCCCTATTCTTATTATCATCATATTCATTACCATGTCTACTTGCTCATACATTAGCCATTTCAACTTTTCTGCCATCTTACCAAGTCAGGTCAGGCCACTATTGTTCCTCACATGGATCACTCCAATAGCTTGCTTTCAAACTCATTCTCTACACTGAATTCTTCCCTTCCCACATGAAAGCATTTAATGATTCCACCTCTGGTTAGTTGTGTATAATTTTGGCTTTGAATATGGTTCATTGTGTACAATGCTTATAAGGTTAAAAGCCAGACATTATTTATACCAGTCAAAATACATAGAAAATACCGTCATTACCACCCAAGATAGTGATAGAGATGGCTTAAATATTATGCGCTTAAAATGCCAGGTAAAATTAAAATATCATCCAGAGTAATTATAACTTTAACTAAGGAGTCACCTGTCAGGTAGGATCTCCAAAATACCAAAAACTATATTGAGTGGGGAAGGTGAGGCTGCATCTGCTCAGTGGAAGATCTAGGGAGAGCTAGAAATACCAGCTGGAGCCTCTGATCACTTTAAAGTACAGCCTTCAGTAAAACCTCTCCAGAGTGAAGTTCCGTTGACAGTCATAGCTCTCTGCTCCCGCCAACCAAGTCTAGAGCACCGGCCCAACTAGGACCCCAACTTCCTCATCAACAGTGTAAGAAGTGAAGCTGGGAGAGCCACATAAGCAATAGAATTTCTAATTAACAGCGGGGCACGGTGGCTTACGCCTGTCATCTAATCACTTTGGGAGGCCGAGGTGGGCGGATCACTTGAGATTAGGAGTTCAAGACCAGCCTGGCCAATATGGTGAAACCCCCTTTCTATTAAAAATACCAAAATTAGCCAGGTGTGGTGGCACACACCTATAATTCCAGCTACTCAAGAGAGTGAGGCGGGAGAAGAGCTTGAACCGGGGAGGTGGAGGTTGCAGTGAGCCAAGATCATGCCACTGCACTCCAGCCTGGGTGACAGATCGAGATTCTGTCTCAAAAAAAAAAAAAAAGAATTTTTAATTAAAGACCCAAAAAGTCTTCTCTTTTTATTTTGAACTTAGTCCTGGCTAGCCTGTAGGTAAATACCTACCATAATAAAGGAACTTAAATGGCATAGTCTGCAAAACCAAGAGAAGTACAAACATAATAGAGTCACCTTCTAAATAAAACCCTTCTAATGATTCACATTGCCTTAAGATAAAATCACTCCATGTAGAGCTTTTTATGATTTATTATCTATACCCTCTGAAATTCCTCCAACCTCATCTCTCATTACAACCCACACTCACTCAACACTCCAAACTTAACCACAGCTTTTGAAATCCCTTGAGTGGACTATGCACCAGCTCATCTTTGGGTCTTAGGATATAGGCTACTCTATCTGCCTAGAATTTCTTCCCTCCCTGCTACCAATTCATTCTTCAGGACTCAGCTGAGAAATTATCTTCCATGGCCGGGCACAGTGGCTCATGCCTGTAATCCCAGCACTTTGGGAGACCAAGGTGGGCGGATCAACTGGGGTCGGGATTTCAATGACAGTCTGACCAACATGGAGAAACCCCGTCTCTACTAAAAATACAAAATTAGCCGGGCATGGTGGCGCATGCCTGTAATCACAGCTACTCGGGAGGCTGAGGCAGGAGAATCACTTGAAGCCAGGAGGCAGAGGTTGCAGTGAGCCTAGATTGTGCCATTGCACTCTAGCTTGGGCAACAAGAGCGAAACTCTGTCTCAAAAAAAAAAAAAATTATCTTCCGAAAGATGCCTGTCCTAAATACCCTATCCTGGGTTTTGTGTCTCTCCTAAATGTTCCCACAGCACCCTGTATCTATGCTTAGTAAACCACTGCCTGTTTTTGCACTCCACACAACCACACTAGATTGTGACCTGCCTGAAAGAAAATACAGTGATGTCTTCATTCATCTCTTTTTTCTTTTTTGTTTTAAATAATTTCAACTTTCATTTTAAATTCATGGGATACAAGTGCAGACTTGTTACATGGGTATATTACATGACACTAAGGTTTGGAGTACAGATGATCTTGTCACCCAGTAGTGAACATAGTACCCTACAGGTAGTTTTTTACCCCATACCCTTCACACACTCTCCCTCAACCCCAGTAGTCCCCAGTATCTGTTGTTTCCATCTTTATGTCCATGTGTGCTCAATGTTTAGCTCCCACTAAATAAGAACATGCTGTCCCTGTGATTTTTGCTTAGAATAATGGCCTCCAGCCTGGATCCATATTGCTGCAAAGGACGTAATTTTATCTTTTTATGACTATGTAATATTCCATGGGGTGTATGTATGGCATTTTGTTTATGCAATCCACCATCATTGGGCACTTAGGTGCTATTGTGAATAGCACTGGGATGAACATACAAGTGTGTATGTCTTTTTTGTAGAACAATTGATTTTCCTTTGAGTATATACCCAGTAATGGGATGGCTGGGTCGAATGGTAGTTGTATTTTAAATTCTTTGAGAAATCTCCAAACTGCCTTTCACAGTGGCTGAACTGATTTAAATTCCCATCAATAGTGTATGAACATTCCCTTTTCTCCACAGTCTCAGCAGCATCTGTTATTTTTTGATTTTTTAATAATAGCCATTCTGACTGGTGTGAGATGGTATCTCATTGTGGTTTTAATTCATTCACCAAATTGAGAGTTTTCTTTATTCACAGTAGTGAATAAAAATAAAGTCCCTATCCTCAAGGAGCTTATATACTTTATTTAGCTTGTCTTTCCAGCAGGTAGCAGCACATAGTAAACAATAGATGAAGAGAGTTTGAGTGGATAGGAGTTGTTCTTGTCATTGTTATTAGTTGGGAAATCTCTGAGAACAACCTTGCCCAGGGCAGGAGAGTTTAGAACATTTACTTTGTTTATAATATTTATTTATTTTCTGGTTATTGAAAACTATATTCAGTATACAAAATTATATATATATATATATATATATATATATATATGTCGAAAGAAGTGAGTAGAAACTCAGCTGAAAACACATATGAAACATTTATTGATATTTTATGTTTTCTTGCTGTATGTTTCTGTGTATGTGTATATGTAAGGATATGTACAGTTCTTCAATTGCTTTATTGGAATATAATTCATACATCATACAGTTCACCCATTTAAAGTGTTTTTTGTATGTTCACGGGATGGTACAACAATCACCACAATCTAAATTCTAGAACATTTTCATCTTCCCAGAAAGAGATTCTACATACCATTTAATTAGCAATCACCCCCAACATTGCACTCCCTTGCTCCAGGCAACCACTAATCTACTTTCTGTCTCTATGGATTTGACTATTCTAGGCATTTTATATAAATGGAATTATACAACATATAGTTTTGTGATTTGCTTCCTTCACTTAGCATAATGTTTTCAAGGATCATCCATGTTGTAGCATGCCAGTACTTTATTTATTTTTATAGCCAAATAATATTTCATTGTGTAGGTATACCATATTTTATTTATCCATTCATCACTTGATAGACATTTGGGTTGTTTCCACTATTTGGCTATCAGGAATAATGCTGCTATAAACATTCATATACAAGGTTTTGTGTGGTTGTATGCCTTCATTTCTTTTGCTTATCTGCCAAGTAGTAAAATTGCTGGGTAATACGGTAACTCTGTGTTTAACATTTTGAGCAAATACCAAACTGTTTTCAAAGTGGCTATACCAATTTATCTTCCCACCAGCAACAAATGAAGGTTTCATTTTCTCCTATATTTCTTAACTTAGGGAAGTTCTTATTGTATATAGGTAAGATTTTACTGTATAAAGCAGACTTAGGTTCTGCTTTACAAACTACACAAGTGCTTCTCTCTTATAAAAGAATTACTTGTAATGGCTGTATTAGTCTGTTCAGGCTGCCATAACAAAATGCCACAGTTTAGGTGATGTAAACAACAGAAATGTATTTTCTTACAGTTCTAGAGGCTGGAAAGCGCAAAATCAAGTTTCCAGCGGGGTTTAGTTTCTGGCAAGGGCTCTCTTCCTGGCTTGCAGACGGGTACTTTGTCCTCAGATGACCTTTTCTCAGAGCACATGCCTAGAGAAGAGAGAGAGAGCTCTGGTCGATCTTCCTCTTCTTATAAAGACAAAAATTCTCTCAGATTAGAGCCCCACCTTTATGACCTCACTTAACGTTTATTACCTGTTTACAGTCCCTGTCTCCAAACACAGTCACATTAGGGGTTAGGGCTTCAACATGTGAATTTAGAGGAGGACACAATTCAGTCCATAGCAGTGGCTAAAAAAAAATGGTCTGTTGCAAAATTCTATATGAAAATGATGCTCTAGGAGCACGATATTAAAGTTTAAAAACTTTTTCCTTAAAATATATTATTTGCAAATTTTCTTTAAAATTCATTTTGTTGTGTTAGCTACATACCCTTCACGTCCAAGTGTGGATAAAAGTGTCTTTCTGAAATTTCTCACCTGCATCTACTTGCAATCTGGAAGAACAGACTTCACACTCTTTCAAAAGATATTTAAATTTTCTGTGTAGCTCAACTGTTGTTGTCTCTAACTCCATTTCTATGCTAGAGAAAATGATGCCTTTTACACCATTGAGAGCCTGTATAATCTTGAAAGTTTTCATTTGAACTGATGAAGGAAAAGAGGCCATCCTAGAGTTAGCTTTATTGGAAGCTTCTACTAAGCAAAACTTCAGATTTCCAAAGGAAACTAATTGGAACCCTGAAGCAGATGGGAAAAGCAGAAATTTCGGAACACCTCGGTGACCTCATTACAAGCATAATGAAGGAGGCAACGATGGAGTTAATTAGAAGAGAGGCAAGAAAAAGATTAAATGAGAGTACAAAAAAAAATGTAACTCAGAGAAAGAGAGGCATTCAGCAAGAAATAGAATATGCTGATCTCTGCAAAACTATTCAGAACCGAGGGAGATGGGAGCTAGAATCAAACAAAAGGCATATAAACCAGGTGGCCACTGAGGATGAAAAGTCTGTAGAAAACACAAAGAGCGGGCACCTGGGAAGGAATGACCAGATATCTGCATCAAGCAGAAAATATAGACTTGGTAGCCAAAGGAATTTAGTTAGTTACACAAGAGGAGTCGTTCTTAATTGGGTGACACTGATTGTGTGCTTGTGTGTGTGTGATGGATAAAAGTCATGGATTTCTTAATAGTCACAAATAGATATTAGTCCAAATTTGTCCATTGCCACTTAAGGCCACCTTAAACTGTTAACATCTTTACCACTTTCTAGCCTAAGGGCTATTACTCCACTATGTGTAGAGACCAAACAGACCTCTAAAGATCATTATTTTCATAAGCAATATTTGCCCTTCAGACGTAGGCTGCAGATGGTAAATTTTAAAACTTGTCCATGAAATGGCATTTTAGACATGTAGTTTGTCCATTTGTTTATGGCTCATACTCATTTTGAGAACAACAAGAAGACAGTTTCATAGCTCTAAAATTCACGTGTGAAAGTTTGTTGCAAGAAAAGAATACCATGCTTTCTGGTCCAAATATAATTATGCTGCTTGTGTAGACTGGAGGCTTAAATTGTAAGAAATTGTAGAGACAGGATCCAGAAAATATTCAGTTGACACAGACTAGCTTCTAGAAAGTTCAGCTCCAAACTTTATTTCCGAATCATATAGATTAGCTAGTTACAATGAGCCCACAGATTAGAAATTTACCACATATTTTCTTTATTTATATTTGAAATAATCCAGGTCTACAGGCTGTGGTTGAATTGAACATGAAACCGCAAGTTTGATTTGCTGTAGTTCACCTTAAAGCCACGTGGTGATACATTTATGGCTCCAGGTTTTCACTCATGTACCTCCCCCAGAGATGTCACCGGGCAAGCATCAAATTGGACTAACCAGTCATTTTTGCTCTAGTCCTACAGTGATCAAGAATGTAAGATTTCTTCTAGCTCAGCTTGTTACATGAATAATGTAGAAGGTACATTTCTCACATGTATCATATCTTCAAACCTCTTACAGAGCTATATTCCATTGTATAGATAAATTAAAAGTTAATGCTTCAAACTTCCTTTACAGCATAAAAGAAGAAATAAAATTTTAAAATATAAACAAAGAAAAGGGGCAAGTTATTTTGAATGTGATTTTTGGACAGTTGATTCCAAATAAGAGGAAGTAATATCTCATCAGAACTTTGGTAGGAATTTATACTACTGCAGCCTACTTCATTTAGCTCCATCATGGCAATTGTTTCCTAGTAACTAGTCTTCCCAGCAAATCAGAAATTCATTTTTTAAGCATGGTCTTTTTAGTTCACTAATCTCTTTAATTACCCCACTTCAACCCTTTTAACTCTCTATCTGCCAGGCCAATTCCAAAGCCTAAAACTTCTAATTATTCTCTTCTATTTCCTCTGCCCTGTTGAACAGAAGTGTTTAACAGTCTGACTTCTGAAAAAAGTCAGATAACCATGTTGATTGGCTTCTACAAACTTCTACTTCCTGAGTTTTCTCCAATTGCTTTTAACTTCCAAGTTTACAGTAAATGAATAAACAGTAATAGCTATCCAATTGTGAGCTCTGGAGTCATTCCTATCTCATCCCTTTTTAACCCCTCCCCTCCTGCCATCTTCACTGTGGTTTATGCTTGTTAATAATCTTGGCTCCTTGTGAAGATTCCTTCTCTTGCTTAGCCACTTGGACTTAAACTGTGCTTTGAACTGTAGTTGTTTATATTTGGCTTTGCTTCTTTGATGGCACTCGTTCTTTGAAAAATACAACAATATTCGCTATTTAAGGATAGGTCTTAGTCACCTTTGATTCCCTCACTCAAAGATATAATAGCAGCCACTAAAAGATATCCTGTCCCCGTCACCTAACCAAGTTCTTCTTCTTCTTGGCTCCTTCCAGGTAGGGAGCAACTTTGAACATCATTCAACCATATTCAGGACCCAACACTGTTCCATAACCCTTCTACAAATTCCTGAATTGTATCAAGTTTCCTTCTGTGTTCTTCCCAATATCTAACATTCTCTGGAGAACTGCCAAGCACTCCCACCCCTCATTTGCAGCATACACCCAACTTTATCAATCAGTCCAAAGTCATTCAACAATATTAAGATGCTTAACTTCTTAACAATTCAAGGGCAATTATCAATTTCTCAAGAGCTGAGTTTGGAAATGCCACTCACAAGATTCTGACAAGCATGGTGCAGACACAAGGTGGACTCCAAGCCTAAGCCATTTGTCTGGAGATCTGCTAGTTAAATTGGTTTTATTTGAAAACTAAATGGGAAAACCTAATGAAGGAAATGGTATGAAAGATTAAAGGCACAAAGGAGGGAGGAAGTTTACGGATACCAAATTGAGTTCATGAGAATGCTGGAAAATATTGTATATACTGATCAAATGTGTGAAAGTGATATGGTTTGACTCTGTGTCCCCACCCAAATCTCATCTTGAATTGTATTCCCATAATCCCCATGTGTTGTGGGAGGGACCTGGTGGGAGATAATTTGAATTATGGGGGCAGTTTCTCCCATAGTGTTCTGGTGGTAGTGAATAAGTCTCACGAGATCTGATGGTTTTATCAGGGGTTTCTGCTTTTGCATCTTCCTCATTTTCTCTTGATGCTGCCATGTAAGAAGTGCCTTTTGCCTCCTGCCATGATTCTGAGGCCTCCCCTGCCACGTGGAACTGTAAGTCCAATTAAAACTTTTTCCCTTTTTTTTTTTTTTTTGAGACTGAGTCTTGCTGTGTCGCCTAGGCTGGAGTGCGTGATCTCGTCTCACTGCAACCTCCACCTCCCGAATTCAAGCAATTCTCTGCCTCCACCTCCCGAGTAGCTGGGATTACAGGCGCCTGCCACCATGCTGGGCTAATTTTTGTATTTTTAGTAGAGACAGGGTTTCACCATGTTGGCCAGGCTGGTCTTGAACTCCCGACCTTGTGATACACCCGCTTCAGCCTCCCAAAGTGCTGGGATTACAGGCGTGAGTCACCGCACCCAGCCTCAAACTTCTTTTTCTTCCCAGTCTTGGATATGTCTTTATCAGCAGCATGCAAATAGACTAATACAGAAAGCCAGCATCAATCACTAGGGAAAGCACCAGAATAGACAAGCAACAGGGAGCAGAACACATATTCCAGGGTGACAAGGCAAACAGAGTAGGGTGGGAGTGAAGGCATGCCTTTCCTTATATGGAGCTGAGATGTGGTGAGAACAATGCGGTGTGATGACAGGAGTAGAATGGGTGGGAATGAGTAAGCCAAGAATGGAGTGCCAAGGCCTTTGCTCTCACAGAAGAGGGGAAGAATGGAAATAAGACCACATTATTAACAGATTGTGCTCCACTTTTAAAATAAATCTAAAATTCCATTGTTGTACATTGACACACTCTTACACAATTAGTTCTGGTTCTATTTTAAATCAGAATTATATGCTTGGAGCAAGTATGTTCTATATTACATTTGAAAGTTTCCTGTACGAGGAGCACACTTGGTGATGAGGGAAGGAATAATAATACAATAATAATGCCACCATTTATTTATATAAAGTTTTATCATAATACTTTTTGGCAAAATACTTATTTAATTGTATAAAATGATTGTATGTGATATATAATATTTTATTGATAATAATATAATAATGAAGACTGTATAATATATAGTATAACATAATATAATATAATAAAAAATACTGTAACACATTTGTCTCCAAGCCTTTACTAAATCCTTGCCTTCTTCCCTCGACTCCTTGCTAGGTTTGACGTTGTTCACGTTCCTCTTCATCTGTAATTGAATTGTACATAAGAGTACTTTACATTGGAGTACTTTCCCCTCCGCCCAGTAGGGGTCTTGCTTTGTAGTTGCTCTTTGCACAGGTGAGAAAAGAAACCAGCCCTTTCGCCACTGAGGGGACTGCTGCTTTTTGCTTTTTTAGTCACATTATTATAAGAGCATCAGTGTTCAGGGACATATTCTGCTCATTTATCTAATAATCTCTGGAAGCTTTCTTAAAAGAACCAGAGCTCTTAGTGCAGCTTCCTGAATGTGATCAGGTAAACATCAGTTCAAATTTTCAAATCTCAAAATTATACAGAGGCCAAGGAACTAGAGAATAGAGACCTTCTCATTCAGTTCCCCCAGAGAAGAATATCAAAGAAAGATAGGCTGCATTGTGAGTAACTCAAGTTCATAGGTAGACAGTCACCAAGGAAATTTTCATTAAGGTTTGATGCCAAGGAAAGCCATAGAATAGCCTACAGGAAGTATTAGGTCAAAACCCTATGGAAGGGAGACAAGATGATAAGGGACAGAAAGGTGTAAAAGAGGAAGAGAAGGAAGAAGAAAATGGTATTCTTTTTTAAAAATGCATATGATACCACCTACATGTAAACCACCTTTACAAATAAAGTACATCTGAAAAAGGCCCACTCTTCAGTTAGATCTTAGATAACCTCTTATCTCAATGGCTTACTTCACTCCCACAGTTGTCACTTTCCTCAGAGCCAGGGAGATCTAAGTTGTCAACTAATAGATAATGTAAGATTACTTAGACGTCATGTAAGCTTTTAGCCACACAGAAATACAATGTTATACTTCTTTTTCAAGGCTACAGGGTTTAGTCAAACCATGGTTTTTGGGGAAAACAAGAGTCTGACAAATGTTTGATGATTACAGAATACATGATCCTTTAAGATGTGAAATCTCACAATTATGACATTTTAAATGACTCTACACTCCCCTTTCTGAGAATACAGAATATAATCTCAGTTTTTGCAAAATGTTTTCAGTGCGTATATATGCATTTGCTTATATACATACAAACATATATACAATATATCTTTTGAAATATGATGGCTTGATGTTTAAAGTTTTCTGACACTAAACTGGATTTTATTTTGAATATAATCCTTTATAATATAATACAGTCCTTTTGTTTCAGTAAATTCTTTTCTTCCTGTTTTCAACATCTTAATGCTACATTATGAGTGCAATTCATACTGCAATAGAGCAACATAAGGCAGTATAACACAATTAGAAAGCACTTGTCTTGTTGGCTCTAGGTCTGAAAAGAAACCGAAAAACAAAAAGAAAGCACTTGTTTGCTATAGATATAGCATCAATGTCTCTGAAAGAGTTAATATTACTTCCAAAATACTAAGCCAGGGACAGAGGAAAGCAGTGAAAAAATTGGTTCAATATGATATTGATTTGTGGAATTCTTGAGTTCAGAGCAAGAGTTCCCCACTTAGTCTATAGATCCAATCTAGATATTCCTGGAATACATAGTTCAGGCAGAGCTCACTGGAGATCTAGCAATATAAACACTAACCAAATTAACTCTAAGATACTTTAGATACTTGTTCGTAAACAATGGTACCAGTGCACTCCTGTGTACTCTTAGACCTTCCCATACTATCCATCAAGCTGTGAAATGCCCAGACATACTCCAGCCACCAAGTAAAAATGGATGGCATTTAATAAAAGCAAGTCAAAGTTAACATTTTGAATCAATTTCTTTCCCTAATATAGCAGCAGAGAGTGATTTAAAGCAAATGTTTTAATTATGCATTTCCTCTGGCCGATCCTAATCTAGCATTAAAACAGTGCCTCCTACAACTTTGTCACTCCCACCTGCCACTGCTAATGTTGTAGTTGTGTAGGCATAACCTATGTGCATTTAGGTCCAAATTTAAAATATTCTGGAAGTTAGTGTTCCTTTCCAATGTACTTTTCTATATACAAACAGGAAAAAGTTAAATCGAGGCAAAAATCTGTAACTCTAAGGACACTTTGTCTTAAACATTTTCCTCACCATTTCTAATCATCTTTATAAAACTGTTTTGTCAAATAACAGCAGTCAAATTTTTACAGCAGTCAAATTCTTAAATAAAAATAGCAGAAAATTATAAAGAAATAAAGAAATGAACAAACAGCTCCTTGCTCCAAATGAAAACATTTCCTATTATATTCCGTCAGTGTAGTTATAGCTTAAAGATATAAAGGGAGTGTCCAAAGTAGTGTGTAAACAATAAATATTATCTAAAAATGAAACATACTTTATTAGCTGTTTAGGGCTTTCTATTTCTTCTGGCTAATAAAGTGGAATTCAAATATTACATTTGAAGCTGAATCATAAATCCATCAAAGAGCTTATTTTCCCCAAATCCCAACTTCAAAACATACGGAAAATTGCCTAAAGGTAGAGAAAGTTGTTGCTCTTATCACACTGTGCATGTAAATTCCCAAGATGATTGATTTAACGAGGTTTGCACATTAGAAGCCTTTTCCATTGTTACAATAAGAGGAAATCACAAGAAAGATTAATGCCCTCTGCATGGTGCCACTGTATTAAAATGTCTTTGAAATGTCTTCACTCCAGGAGCATTTCCTACCCATGCCAGTACTTAGTAAAGTTGGTCTCAGTGTAAAGGATTTATTAGTTACAGCCAATGACGCTGTTGTGCTGGAAATAAATACCTGCAATATGCTTACTTTCCAAGAGACGTATAAACCAGTCAGTTTCCAAACAAAATTTAACTTCATGGCCTAGTACAAGGAGAGCACGTCTCTGAGATGCTTGCAAGTGAGGCCACCCACAGGTCTGCCACAGTATCTAGGATCTTGTCACAACACTGCAGTGTTACCAAATGGGAAGCAAAGCCATGAGCCCTCCTATCACTTGGAAAGCTTCTCACACTTAGATCCTCACTGGCATTTTCTCTAAAGTAATGGAATGTTTTCTCGCTCTCACCTTTCCTCTTCTTCGCAGACACAGGAGAAAAAATATTTCAATCTGCTCTTACAATCTCTAGGATGGTGCCATACACCTGAGCCTGTTTTCTCATACTGCTTGGATTATATAAAAGAGGTGACTTCAGAGAATAATTTTTTAAATGATTAAGACTAACACTCCTATACCCATATACAACCAATAGCATTAACTGTGTACCAATTATATGTTCCGTATTGAGCTAAGTGCTGGGATATACACATGAAACAATTTATGAACAAAAAATTATGTATTATTTCATTACCATGAAGTAAAATAATAAAGTCTAAAGTAAGTAGCATATACAACAATAAAACAAGTTAAAATAAGAAATATCATATGAAATGCAACAGAACTGTGATTGACAGATACCAAAATGTACATGGCATAGAAAGGCAATTGTTGGCATGCAACAAATCTTAAATCAACAAGCACAGAAATAGAAAGGTTTCTATCTAGTATATCTATATTATTCCCTGGTATTATGCATTTCTGTTTCTTTGCCTCTCCTCATGCTCCCCTGGTCTGGAATGTTTCATCTCTTCTCTGTTCATCCAAGTGATAATGTCCTTAAGGACCCAACTGAAATCCCACTTCCCCATGGCAACCCCAAACCCCATCATTCTCCCACTTCTATAAACTTTTACAGTTTTTCTAGTAACCATCTCATACTTCAGTGTATATTGGCCCATACTGTTTACTATTTTTTCCCCTTAACTAATTATCCTAGCTGGCTTGCAAGCTTCATGAGAGTAGGAAACAAGTCTTCTATGACTTCTGTTTCCTCGTAACAATTATTATAGGAGTGAGCACGTTTTTATTTGCACTTAATAAATACTTGACACTTTGGTTTGATGTAGGATGGCCTGTTACCAAAAGACTTCGTGAGGTTATAAAAAAGTTGTTAAATGCAGAATGGAAACATTAATTTATTCACCACTTCAAAGTGAATAAACAAAAATAGTCATCAAAATATATAGAAAACACAGACACTGAGGTACAAATTATGCAGTGGTAAATGTTTAACTCATTCATTAGTTTAAAACAGTAAAAATTAGAATTGGGAAAAAATCCATAGGTAAACACAATAGGAACAAACAGTAATAGATGATGATTAATCCATAAGCAAATACAATACGAACAAACATTCATGTATTAACTTCTAGTTTCTTTGCCTTGTTCCAAAAATTCTAGCATTGCTTCCTAGGCATCTCTCTCCCTTGCAATGAAAAAGTTAAGATTAACTGTCTGCAGATCACGAGGGTGTGGGACAAGTAGAAAAAAGCAAAGAGCTTGTACACACGAGGCATTCAGGAGCCATGTACGGAGAAAATTGAAAGAGAATGAAAAGAAAAGCTGTTCAGGGAGCTGCTGGTGAGAGAGGTAGGGGTGAAAACAAAGACCTGGATTCCAGTTATATTTAGCTGCTAACTAGCAGAAGGATTTAGGAAAGTTATTTAAACTCTTTGAATTACAGATTACACACGTATCTGTAAAATCAGAATAATAAAACCTACCATACAGGATTGTTGGGAGGATTAAATTAGTTCCTGGCTCATTATTGACACTCAGTAAATAGAGCAAATCTCACATGTTATTATCAATAATAGGCCTTGAAATTTTGGCAATCTCACCTCAGCCTCCCAAGTAACTGGGACTACAGGCACACGCCACCATGCCTGGCTAATTTTTTATATTTTTTGTAGAGACGGGGTTTCACCTTGTTGCCCAGGCCACCCTTTCCCTTTGTTTGGCTACTTCTTTGAGCATTCAGTGTCTTCCAATCCAACTTCTATCTTCACACTTTCCTCCTCTTGATATTATTTTCATGCCTTCACTTTCATCTATTCTATGGCAAGCACATATTGCCCCTGAGAGTACAGAAAGAAAAAACGCAAAGAAGAAAAATATGAATTTTTGTGTGTGTGTTTAATAAGTTGAATCAGCTGGGCGAGGTGGCTCACACCTGTAATCCCAGCACTTTGGGAGGCCGAGGTGGGTGGATCACCTGAGGTCGGGAGTTCCAGACCAGCCTCGCCAACATGGTGAAACCCTGCCTCTATTCAACACACCAAAATTAGTCTGGCATGGTGGCTCATGCCTATAATCCCAGCTACTCAGGAGGCTGAGACAGGAGAATCGCTTGAACCTGGGAGGTGGAGGTTGCAGAGAGGTCAGTGAGCTGAGATCGCACCACTGCACTCCAGCCTGGGTGACAGAGCAAGACCCTGTCTCAAAAATAATAATAATAATAAGTTGAATTGTATGAAATGGCCATTTTGTAGGGAAAAGTTTATGTATATGATATATGTTTATAACAGTATGTCTATCTACAAACATTATAAATACCTTCTAATGTTTTATTGTTCTGAGCTTATGAAAAGTGAAGATACATTTACTTTAGTAACATTGCAAAGCCATGTTCAACATGTGGAGAAATTTCAAAAGTGAGCCATAAAACTCATACAAAAGGTTATACAGTTAAGTTTCTTCAGTTGAAAGCAAGAGAAGCCAACTCTGGCCAATTTAAGCATAAAAAGTAATTTATTGGAAGGCATAGGATAGTTCATAGGATTTTCTTTTCTTTTTTGAGACGGAGTCTTGCTCTGTCATCCAGGCTGAAGTGCAGTGGCACGATCTTGGCTCACTGCAAGCTCCGCCTCCCGGGTTCACGCCATTCTCCTGCCTCAGCCTCCCGAGTAGCTGGGACTACAGGCGCCCGCCACCAAGCCCGGCTAATTTTTTTGTATTTTTAGTAAAGACAGGGTTTCACCATGTTAGCCAGGATGGTCTTGATCTCCTGACCTCATCATCCGCCCGCCTCGGCCTCCCAAAGTGCTGGGATTACAGGCGTGAGCCACCACACACGGCCAGGATAGTTCATAGGATTTTTTAAAAATCTGAACAATCAATTCTTGGGAAACATTGAAGTAGGGCAACCATAGACCTCAAGAGCAAGAATTAATGTTCAGAAACCTTAGGAAGGTCCCCAGAAATGATGAAGTTCTATTTTTTTCATGGGTTTTCCTTTCATGATTCAAAGTTCAGGTAGAGTCTAGCTGGCCTACTTTAGGCCAAGGCTCCACACAGAATCCCCATGTTGTACAACTCTAGGGGCCAAATTCCTATTTAGTCTGTGACTGAACCAGTGTGAAAGATGTTCCTTGGAATTACATGACACGGGATCTGGCGTTAAAGCATGTGGACTGACTGTTCCAACAGGGCAGACAAAATTTTACTTTTTTGCCCCCCAGAAGTAAAATTTTACTTCCCAAAGCTGGAGGAAGGAAGAAGAGAGGTCTACCAGAGCATGTGTCTGTGTCCAGTGACAAAGGGCAAGCAAAAGATACTCTTCTGAGATGAGTAACCTGGAAAAAAAATCACACTTATTTTCACAAGTTACACTTTAATTGTTTCTGTTACTGAACCCTGTAAGAGAACATTCTCATAGCTGCTTATGAGACGATTTTTACAATTGTTTAGCTAAAGTATTATAAGAATATGAGTCTTCAAAGCACAGGGCTTCTTATTGCTTATGGGTGTGAAGAGGAGGGGTTCTTCTTAGCTGGAAATAAGTCAGATGCTTCTATAGAAAAAAAAAAATAAGCCCATAACCCTAGCCAGGAAGGATGAGGATATTCATGCATCAATTATCATAGTTCTGCCAGTCAGATATACAGGAAGTATACACTGCAGACCTGAAACCAGATCAGGAAAAGCACATCCTAAACAGATGGCGTTCAGCCAAGCAAAGTGTCTTTTATTAAGATTCCACACCTCCAGGTGCACATATAAGTTTCATGCTACCACAAGACAATGTCGAGACTTGGCTTCCTGAGTGACCTGGTTGCCAGTTTCTACCCCATATTTTGTGGGTACAGCTAAAATATCACAAGTGGTTTAAGCTCAGATTACAATCTTGGCTCCACCATTTACTTTCTAGTTTTATGAGACCCTGGGCAAGTAATTTATTCTCTATGTCTCTCAGTTTTCTTATCTGGAAAAAATGGGAATAATATTCCTGTCCCACAGGGTTGCATATTATTACATAAGTTAGTGCATGTACAGTGTTTTGAATGTGCCTTGGGACTTCATAAATACTCAATAAAAATTAGCTAGATATTTTTCTCCTAACTCTCCTCGTATGCAACTATTATTGATTCCATAATTATGGTTATACAATCACCTTTCACCCTTTTAGTTTGTATACATGTATGTCCGTTTCTCTGGACCATAACCTTAGCTTTCCTCCAAACTATATTCTATGGTTTCATCTATCAGAAAACCAACATAGAGCACTTCTTTTGGTTCGACCCAGTTTTCTTCTTGGTCACCCATTGCCCTCACAGTCAGTTCTTAGTCTGATCTTTTATGACTTCAGATATGTGAGCAAACCAATGAGGAATCTGACCCTAGGTATTCAAGACATAACTCTCATATTGTGTAGAAAAGAAAATCAAAGCAATTAGCAAGGCATTAAGTTGGTAGTGAAGCCACCAGCCCTTTGAGGCTAGAATATAGCTAACTTGGGACAAAATTCCATAATCTGGGAATTTGACTCATCTATGCTAAAAATTTTCTTTCTAGTGTCCCTCTATGCTTAAAGGTCACAAAGAAATTTCAAATACTAACAAGGTGTCTTGGGTAGCAAGAGCTCAGTGGCATACAGCACTCAAATTTGTCCCAAGGAAGGAGCCAGGCCAGGAGCTCATAGAGCAATAGCAAGCCATTGAAGCAGAAGCAAGTAACACATGTTGGTAGCTGTACCATTAAGAGTTGCAATGGATTTGGCTAAGATGTAAAAATAAAGCCTCAAAAAAATGAAAGAGGTTGGGCGCAGTGCCTCACGCCTGTAATCCCAACACTTTGGGAGGCTGAGGTAGGTGGATCACCTGAGGTCAGGAGTTCGAGACCAGCCCAGCCAATATAGTGAAACTCTATCTCCACTAAAAATACAAAAATTAGTCAGGCATGGTGGCAGGCGCCTGTAATCCCAGCTACTCGGGAGGCTGAGGCAGGAGAATTGCTTGAACCCAGGAGCTGGAGGTAGCAGTGAGCCAAGATGGCGCCACTGCACTCCAGACTGGGCAACAGAGGGAGATTCCATCTCAAAAAATAATAATAATGATAAAATAAATAAAAATAAACAGAAAGAAAAAAACAGTACTCAGCATGCAGGTAAAAGGTAAGGTTTATTTGAATGAATTCAGTTAATTTGGTAATGATCAAAAGACAAGGAGATAACAGTAACATCTGGATAAAATAATGTTCTACCATGCATTTTCATTGTCTACTCAGTAGCAATTTCTCTGTCTCTTAATTACTAAAGCACTCAAATTCATTCAAATCTAAGTTGGCCATGTTCTTTCCAAAAGACACCTTCTACCCAACCCCAAGAAGTTAGGTTTGTTTGGTCCAAGCCAATTATGGTAATTCCATTTTCCTTATTTTAGGAATGGGCATGTAATAAAAGACTCACCTGTAAGAAGTAAGGGGAGACCTCTGTGGATGGATAGATGAGCAAGGTTTGTCATTTTTTAAAAAGGCAAGAAGAAAATGGTAAGAGAAAGAATCAAGCATTTATTCTTTTTCCTGTATTTTGAGTAACCAAATAGTTTTTGAGAGTTATTCTTTATTCAAGAACACCAACTAAAAAAATGCAACCCTTAAAAGAACAGTGAATCTAGGCAACAACCATCAATAGATGTCAAAATATTATGCAAAAGTTGATGTGGAACTTTATAGTGGATGGAATTTTATAGTGGATGGATCTTATTGACAACTTCTGAATCCACAGATGAATTTTAGTATACTAAAAGTAGAACAACAAGGCTGTATCTGTCCTCCAATTTGAAGTTTGGGGCTGTATAAAGTATCACTTGTAAAATATTCTTACAAAACAAAAGTGAATCTTAATCTATTCAAGTCTCTATATTTAAATCTCTAGTTTGGAAATATGAGGAGAGATAATTAGGTTAAAATCATCGCAAGGAAGCAACCAGCCAAATCCAGAACACAGGATAAACTACAGGACAAACTAGTTTCTTCAAGAATATGAGGAGAGAAGGACTCTTGTAGATTAAAAGATGTTTAGAGAAGCATAACAACCAAATGCAGTGTATGAACCTTATTTGGATTTTTTTCTTTAGAAAAAAAATTGAACACAGATTAGTGTGTAAATAAGTTTAAGAAATTATTATTTTCATTACATGTGATAACAGCATCACATTTAAATTAAAAGTCCTTAGGTGCTTAAAATGCATGCTGAAATATTTGTAGATAAAATATATAATACTTACTTTAAGATAATCATGTTTAAAAGTGTAGAAAAGGAATAAATGAAACAGATTGGCAAATATCTGTAATTGTTGAAGCTGGGTGAAGGGTGTATGATTGAAATTTTCTGAAATTGAGATTTTAGACATATGGGAAAACTGTAACATGAGAAATGATGCACTCTCTTCCCATTTCCAACTTCTGAATATTATTGTAACCATGAGGGGACAACTCTTCTTATGGCAGAGCACAGAAAGAGAAAAAAAAAACAGACCTTGATGACATCATGAGCTAGTGGATTATCCAGCCCTTAAATCATTTTACTCTGTGATTTTACTATGTCAAGTAAAAAATGCTTTATTATTTCATCTAATTTTAAAATGAGTTTTCTGTTACTTGCAGCCACAATTATCTTAATTGATAAAATGTTATATATAAAGTTATTTTGTTGCTGTTTTTAAATTATTTATTTTTAATTAACCAAGTAATTACACGTTCATTGAAGCAAGTTATTATACGCTCATTGAAAAAAAAACAAAAAAGAATATAGAACACAGATTATTATTCCCCTTCATGTGGCCCATCTCCCTCTCCTTAACAGAGGCAACCACCCTTAACATATTTTGATTTAAATGTTATTGGAATATCTGCATCTATGTTTGCCTAGATGACATTGTTTATGAGGACTGCTTTGTGAGTCTGTGTGCCTATGTATCTATGTGTATCATCATTTGTGGGACCTGATCCTTCTGGGACAGACAAGGAATCTGTCTTTTCATTCACTTCTAATTATCTCCCCCCAGTGGCTAATGTAGCACTAAAATTTCACCATGCACTGAGTAAACCCTTATTTGTAGATAATATTAATGGTGATAAGAATAGCCAGGCTTACAAGAATCATTTCCAAACTGCACTCAAACTGAACTCCAAGTCTGCAAAAGCAATATTGTACCTTCCCCACCCCCACAGAAAAATAACAATAGATCACAACCAAAGATACCAGCAGGTGTGCAACATGCAAATGGCAAGCATGAAAACTGAAGTGACTGACATTCTGAAGACATTTTCCAGCAAGATAAATTGTCAAAGCTGAGAACATTTGAACAGCAGGGCACAGCAAAGAGGCATTACATCTTCACATTTCAAGTCATTTGGCTGTGCACGGCAGAGTTACTTATAAAACTTAGTAAAGAGAAATCTACATTAACTGTTGAGCCATCCATAGGACTGCATTTGGTAGGGAGAGAGGGCATATGTGCCCATCTGTTCCGGATCTAGCTACCTTCCCAACCTTCCCTCTCTTGTCATTTTTAGAATGTAAACATTCTGAATGTAGGGAGGAACTGGGTTCTGTGGTATGTTCTGAACAGTTTCCAGCACTTTGAGCACTTAGAACATTTTTAAGGAATAACAACATTTTGCATTGGACTGAAGGGAATAGAACTTCCCCTTCATTTGCTAAAATGAGAATATCTTTTATTCACCAAAAGCTGTTCTTTGGCTGACCAATTTAGCAAAAGAATAAAGAACTCCTTTTCTCATGCTTAGAAGGGACCTGTTCTTAAACAATGAAATGGTAATTCAAGGAGACATGTAGCAGCAGAGAGCCAGTTTGTAAAAGTACTTTTCTGGACAAGTAAGATACTTTCAAAACGTAGAAACTCAATTGGACCCAGCTAGATTTTGCTTTGGGAGGCCCACAGTGCCTAATGCAGATACAGGAAAAAAAAAAAAAGTGTCAGATTAGGGCAGGCATTTAGAAAAAGAACAAAAAACTTTTTGATTCCACATGCCTAAGTTTAAAAAAGGGAAAAGGGAATGGTGTCTATCTTTTAGAATCTTTAAGAAGTAATAGTAACCTGATTCTTTAAAAGAAAATCAAAGCTTTTAAAATTCTAAATTTTTTTTTAATTTTGATTTTTTTAAAAAATCAAAGCTTTTAAAATCCTAAAAATTCCTATGGAATTTTTTCTATAGATATCATCATTCAAGTGTGGAACAAATGTAAAAATAAAGTGACTTATTGTGCACTGAATTAATGAAAAACTGGAAACAATACAAATATTCATCAACAGAAGACCAGTTGTCATAAGCACATCAAAACATGAAATATTATGTAGCTATAAAAAAGGATGAAAAGCTTCTCTACATAATCATGAAAATATCTGAGTAGTATATTGTTAAGTTTTAAAAAATACAAGAGTATATATAATATAATGACAGTTTTATAGTAAAGAAAAATATCTATATAGCAAATATATGCATGAAAAAAGTCTGTAAGGGCATATTTTAAAACCTCATGGTGGCTACGTTGTGGGATTGGGAACTGAGCAGGTACAAGATAAGAACTGAAGGACTGATTTTTATGGTGTAGTGTTTCATAGTTTTTCATTTTGAATCATGTGACTGTTAAAAAATGTTTTTAATTCAGTCCTTTTTAAGCCTTTCTCAAAATTTACGATGAATTAAACAGGCCAAGTTTCATCTTTTGGATGATATTTTTTAATGCCTACTTCCATTTATTGCAAAAGGAAAGCAATCCTGCCTGCATTTATGGACTCAAATAAAAAAATAGAGCAGGTAAAAAGGAGGTAAGTGTATAATACACTATTTTTCCCTAGACAGCTGAAAACCTGAATATATAAATATTTGAAATGGTGTGTTGCTAATGTAAAATGAGAGATGTAACCTCAGGGGTAGAACTGAATTCACAAGGGAATGACTACAATTTAGAGGAAGAAAAATACATACAGTCAGACTAATGCTAAAACCCCAACTGTGTCCACAGAGACTGTAAACAAGAAGTCTGGGTGAGTGACAAACATCATAAGATCTTCAACAATGAATGATAGTTTGTATGCTCCACTCCATTTATGTCAATAATAGTTATATTATGGAATGTGTAGATGGCCTCACCCAAAGGCCCTATTACTATAGAGAATAAAAGTGTGGCATAAAGGGCAACTCTGCCCATTGCCCCTGGTTAAAATAAATTGCTGAGAATACAATCCAGTCCAAGAATGAATGCCTAAAGGCCTCTGTTTAAAGTTTTAACCTAATCCCTAAAACCTTTTGTTGTATCTGTATTTTTCTATCATTTCTCAATTGTTTTGAAAATAAGCACCTATAGTAGTCGGGGACATAAAAGCTATATTAGGTTCTCTCTCAAGACAATATGGACCCTTCTTTCTCAATGATAACACAAAACAACACAAAACTAAAAAAATTCAAGTACTATTGTTGCCTTCATTTTATCCCTCTTGCTAAAAAAGAAAAAAATTAAATAAAATGGCCACTGCTTTTTAATGTTGACTAAATGAAAAATAAGCCAATATTACACACAAAAAACAATGAACATAAATGATAAGCTCCCATTATATTTGCTATTTAATTTGTAGATGTTAATTATAAAAGTAAATCAATGTAATGTAGACATATTGTCTTATAGTGATAAATAATTCCACAGTGTGATTCACATAAAAATCCTTCATTTGAAAATGAAGTCACTTTTTCAAATTAGGGAAAACACACTTGGGAAGATTGGAGTCTCTCCAAATAACTGGCAGAAGCATAAACATGACTTAATAATCTGAGTGTCATTTCAACCAAGTGTTTGTGAGGTATCAGATGCATGAAAAACTCTGGTGAAAAACAAGCCAGAAGCATGTTGCAACAAATTATTATTATAATATGATTCATTTCTGTACATGATTTTTAGTATTAAGTCAGTGATCCTTCCTAAAATCCAGACTACAGGGTATCATAGATATTTATTATTTCATTTGTCTAACACATTTAGTTTCATAACCAGATGGCTATCAGTAGTTGCAACTTTAAAACATTATGAAAGAGCCTGTTTAACAATTTGAGTGTGCCAAACAGTGACTTCCTCTGCAAAAAAAAAAAAAAAAAAAATCAAATGCAAAAGTAAAAGTGCAATCACTCATCTTGATTATTTTGCCTGTCACTAAATATCTGAAAGTAGATATAGAAACTTAAGAAATAGAGGGCTCTAGGAGGCTTTTAGTAATAGAATTTCTTCTACAACACTTGACAGATGATCATTCAATCTGGATTATCGTTGAGTGCCCTTAGTCAGTGATAAGGAGTTACAGTAATAGTCATTCCTTGTTGAATGGATCTAATTGTTATCAGAATTTTTCCCTGTTTCAACAGTTAGCAGCCCCATGCTGTCTACCGAATATTCCGAAGCCAAAAAAAGAAAAGTCTATTTTTCCCCCAACATGATAGGTTTTCAAATATTCAAACACTCCTTCCACGTACCCAGGTTTTTGGTTCCAAACCAAAGATTTTTCAGTTGTTTTCTTATAACATACTTTCCAGACGCTATACCTTCCCAGTTTCTCTTTGACACTCTCATATGATAATGTCCCTATTAAAGTGTATAAGCGTGGCTAACACCATGCTTCAACTAACACAGCCTAAAATTGCACACCTTAACAGTTACAACACATTTTTTCAAATCTCAGAGTGGTTTTAGGATTAACCATAATGCTAGGGTCTTTTCAGTATCACATTTTTTGACATTTTATATTACTTTAATAATCATAGGACTTTACGTTAATATCTGAAAATGTTAACTAATTGTTTTTAGTACCTCTTTCCAAAGAGTTTTAATTTTCAATCAGAATTGAGGCATACCCATTATACCTAAAGTTAATATTATTGTTAATTTTTATAACCTTGGAGCCTATTTCCAAAACCATAAAAAAGAATGTTTGAGTAACTAAAGTTAGAAAATTTCATTAGAGAAAGTCTCAGAAACTAACATTGGTGCATTAATCAACCAATTTTCTTTGCATTTTGTTGTACAGTCATATGCATTTCCAGTTATTTGTGTTATCACCAATTTCACATTTTATTACCCGTTCAAAAAGTATGTGAAGAGGGTTGTCAAATAACCAAGACACTCTACACCATGGAATAATGCTGACCCACCAATTTAGCAATTCATAAAGAAATGGAAATAACATTAGTTAGTAAGGACTTTTTGCTGGTGAATACATGCTGCCACCCAGAGATTACATTCCATATTTCAGTGCACTTTGTCCCAGTTTATTTCTTCACCCAAGAAAAAGGATAACAATTAATTCTCTACAGGTATGACCTTGGAATTTGGATTTTAACTGTTATGAAATGTAAAATTTTTAAAAGCTTAAACATTAATGAAATTTCTAAGAATAGTCAAAGCAAGAAACAGAAATCTAGTATGGTTACTCAGTCCCAGTGGAATCTGGATGTTTTCTTAGTGACATGAGGTTTATCTCTGAGGTAGTAAATCATAAGATATTCTGGAGAAGACAAGCTTCATTTAAACACATACCTTATTAATGTTATCCAAAGTTGCATGCGTATTTGTTTTTAAATGCCTTCTCTTTCTGTCAATATTTGCTAACTTTCTGGCAAATACGAATAGGCTAGTAGCAAAGTATTCTTCCTTAGTTATGATACTATGTATGGTGAACAAATAAATGAACAAATGAATAAGTAAAAGATGAAAGAAGGGAAGGAGAGGGAGGGAGGAGGGAGAAAATTGTCTATTGAATAAATTCGTCTTGTACTGTCTCTGTTGGACATAAATGCTTTTCTTACTGGCTTCCAGTAGGAAAGGAAATTAACTAAATGGAAGAGCACAAAGGTATTATGAAAGAGGTACATCAATGATGTGAGACACCACTACCCAAGTTTTTACACAAGTTCTGGGATAGACTTGACTAACTTTTTCCAAATAGATTTTTAATTTTCAACTGAGAGAGATAAACTCTTTGAAGTCTAGCCCGTGGACTAACACAGAAACATAACAAGCCAGTTAAGATACACTGGTCGGCCGGGCATGGTGGCTCACACCTGTAATCCCAGCATTTTGGGAGGTCAAGGCAGGAGAATCACTTGAGTCCAAGAGTTCAAGACCAGCCTGGGCAACATGGTGAAACTCTGTCTCTACAAAAAAATACCAAAATTGGCCAGCTGCAGTGGCACACACCTGTTGTCCCAGCTACTTGGGAGGCTGAGGCAGGAGGATCACTTCAGCCCAGGAGGCAGAGGTCACAGTGAGCTGAGACCACGCCACTGCACTCCAGCCTGGGCAATAGACCGAGACCCTGCCTCAAAAGAAGACACAGTGGCCGGTGGCCTACTTGTAACACTTTAGAAAGCCTAATTTAAATTATAAAAAATTATTTAAAATATTCAATTATTTAAAAAATATTATCTTAATAAAAAATGATTCTAACATAAAAGACTTAAAATATAAAACACACTTTAAAAAACAAAAAAATTGAGATTAATCAATTTCTAAATAAAAAGAAATTGAGCTAATATAACCACATAATAAATCAATTATGGTATAAGTAGACTATGTAGAGATTAACTGGTCTATAATGCTTACCATGATATTGTGGAGGTAAAGATAACAAAACAAGTCTTTTTGTCATTAACGTTTCTTCAATTTCAGGTTATAGGATAATCCAAAAGGCTTTTTAAATATTCTCAATTTTTCAGAAGTAGTTTATTTTGTAAGATTTCTCATCATGTGTATTCCTTTTTTTAATCTTTGCCCTCAACATTAAGAAAGTCATTTGATTGTTTTTAATTTGCAGTATTCTGCCAGCAGCAAATGTGAATGACAATATTACTTGCTTTTCCTTCCTCCTATTAAAGATTGCAAGCGTTAAAAAATTTGATTCCTATTTTTGTTTTGAGTCACTTTTGGCAAAGTTGGTAAGATGTTGATTGTGTAATGGGGAAGGGTTTTCTTCATCTTGGCTTAACTCTACCCCTGTTATCGCACCATGACATTTTCTTTGTCCTGGGATGGCTAGGAGAAAAGGTGTATGGGTACTTTGAGCTACACGGACTCTAAGTTCTTTGGATATTTGTAACAGGAAAATCTGTAAATTTGTCATTGCAAAACTGTAAGCCACTTTACGCCTTTTGAGATGTGAAAATCACACACCACTTCTTCCTTTGTCCTTGGAAAAATAGCAAAATGAGTCATTTTGTTATAAAATATTAAGTAGTCATGTTTGGGAACCTATGGCTCCAAAGAGCTAAAATGCTCACTGAAATCATGTAGAAGGCTGAGTTCAACCTCTGCGGACTTTCTCCTTTTAAGAAATATCCTTTTTTAGCTTTGCGTTTTCATGGTAGCATACTTGCTGACTGTTGCTTTCCTTATGGACGAGGATGTGTGATAAGTCTAATTATTATTGCTCATGTAATACTAGGAACTAAGACTTAGAACTACAGAAAAGATATCTGATATTATACTGGTTTGAAGGATATAAAAGCAAACTGGAGTCAGACTCTCTGGGAATGGAGGCTTACATCTATATTTTTAGAAAGCTCCACGCGTGCTTCTGAAGCAGAGCCAGGTTTGAAAATCCTTTTACTACAGCGTATTGTAGGAAACTCCCTCGTGGTATAATTTAAGATTCAATAAACCAGACTTTGAAAATAATCTAATGTTGGGCTATTATGTTCTGATGTGATTATTTGGGGCAAGGACACACCAGGAATGTTCTAAGACTGGAGTTTCCCTAGAAAGAAGTGGAAGTGGGAAGCCACAGGGACGAGAGAGGCAGGTTGAGACAGCACATATGACTGGAATGGTGAAAATTTCTCTGCACACACTGGGCCTTGTATTTCAAGCACAGCAACTTGGAGCATCAAGACATACTGAAAGGAGCTCCTGGCTGTGCGAAAAGCTGAACTACATTTATGGCAGCAGGCCGGGGGCCATTATTCTTTGTGCACAAGAATGATGAGTGCTAAGGGAAAGTGGATAGGGCACTGACAGCTTCACCCACACTTGGGAAGTAGGCTAAATGTGCATGAAGTGTGCACAAAGTTATCGAGTTATCCTTCTATTTCTCATTTGCGTGTGTGTGTGTGTGTGAGTTCACTAAATTTAGTTCTGAACTGCAGTGCAAAGAACATTCCATTTAAGATACTACAAGATCCACCTGCTCAAAGTTTAATTTTCCCTCAGCAAAAACAAATGAAGCAGAAAGGGTGTATCTGGCACCTTTTGGCATTCAACACTTTCTCCATTAGCAGCTCAAGATGAAACCTAAATGTTTGCATGTGCTCTAGGCCCTAGTGGAGGCAAAGATGTTGAAACAACAATGGCTACTGCTGTTTTCAGCTTCACGTTAGTGTACAGGATTCACAAAACTTAATTTGTGTGCCATATAATGACAAATCTCATGACTGAATATGCTGACACAGTGAACTTTCTCTCACAGCTACAAAAAGATTCTAATGATTTGTACAGATTTATCTATAAGACTCTAATTGTTGGGTAAGAATGAAAACTTGCCTGTTATGTTATTGCATATTGCGTATTTCCTCCATAAAATTCTACCATTTTACACTCCCATAGCAGTGTGAAACATTCTCATAGACTTATCAACATTATATATTATCAAATTTGGGGTTTTTACAAACCTGATAGATGAAAAATGACACCTTGGTGTGATTTTAACTTGCCTTTCACTTGCTGTGAGTGAGGTTGAGCATCTTCTCATGTGTATTTGAGACCACATGTATTTCTGTTTCTGGGTTGTGTCTGTTCATGCCCTTTGCTTATTTTTTGGGAGGAAACTACTTGACTTCTTCTCAATTTTCACGATTTGTACACTCCTTCTATTAAAGTTCTCCAGAGCAACCAAATCCCCCTTATATATGTGTGTGTGTATATATATAATGTATGGAATATCTATATCATATATAGGGAATATCTATATCTTTACTTATCTATCTATCCTACATATATAAATTCCCTATATATATATAAATTCCTATATATATAAATTCCGCATATATATGTAGGCTAGATAGATGATAGATAGATAGATAGATAGAGAATTTATATATGTAGGATATATAGATAGATAAAGATATAGATATAATAAAATTATTATGAGAATCGGCTCATGAGATTATGGAGGCCAAGAAGGCCCACAATCTGCTGTATGCAAGCTAGATAACAAGGAGAAGGCCAGTGATGTAATTCAATTCAAGTCTAAAGGCCTGAGAACTGGGGAAGCTGTGGAAGTCCCAGTGGAAGGCTGAAGGCCTGAGAACTGGGGTAGTCACTTGTATAAGTCCTGGAGTCTGAAGTCTAGAAAACCAGGAGCTTTGATATTCCAGGGCAGAAGATGGATATCCCTGCTCAAGAAGAGAGCATGCACCCTCCTTCTGCCTTTTTGTTCTATTGAGGCTCTCAGTGGATTGGATGATGTCCATCCACACTGGTGAGGGGACATCTTCTGTGATCAGTCTACGAATTCAAATACTAATCTCTTTTGGTAACATCATAACAGACACACCCAGAAATAATGTTTTATCAGCTATCTGGGCATCCCTTAGCCCAGTCAAGTTGACACATAAAATTAACCATCACAGGCCAGATACAGTGGCTTGCACCTCTAATCTCAGCAACTTTGGAGGCTAAGGCAAGAGGATCGCTTGAGCCCAGGAGTTGAAGGCTGCAGTGAGTGATGATTATGCCACTTCACTCCTGCCTGGGCAACAGAGCAAGAATCTGTCTCTAAAAAAACAAACAGGCCGGGTGCAGTGGCTCACGCCTGTAATCCCAGCACTTTGGGAGGCTGAGGCAGGCAGATCAAGAGGTCAGGAGATCGAGACCATACTGGCTAATACGTGAAACCCCGTCTCTACTAAAAATACAAAAAATTAGCCAGGCGTAGTGGCGGGCGCCTGTAGTCCCAGCTACTCGGGAGGCTGAGGCAGGAGAATGGTGTGAACCTGGGAGGCGGAGCTTGCAGTGAGCCACTGCACTCCAGCCTGGGCGACAGCGTGAGACTCCATCTGAAAAAAAAAAAAAAAAAAAACCAAAAATCTTAATTATTATACTGCCCCTAAATTGGTTTATAAATTTCATGCAATTTGAATAAAAATGCCAACAGGGTTTTTTTTTTTTTTTTTCTGAAACAAGACAAAAAGTGCTGGGGTTTTGGACACTTCTTGCTTGTTTATTTTTCTTTAGTAACAAGAAACAACTTGAATTTACTTTAAATATACAGAAAAGCTTATAAGCTTTTCCTATTTCTTAAGTTTCACCTAGGTACTGTATTTAATCTTTTTTTTCTATTGTGAAAAGGGTCTTGTCTTCAATGATATCTTCCAACTTATTGACTTTGTGTCTATTAGGTATTTATTTCTGTATGTTAATTTCAAATCCTGTGACCTTTCTGAGCTTTGTAATAGTTTTTAATAGATTCTCTTGGGATTTTTTAGTTATTTATTCATAGGTTGCCTTTTCATTTTCTGTTTTTATAATTTTAATTTTTTTCTCTTATCTAATTGTGCTATCTAACATTGCCAGTATAATTTTAAATAGTAATGCTGAAAATGAGTGTTACTGTCTTATTCCTGACTTGATTGAGAATTCCTTCAGTGCTTATTGATTTTGTAGTATGCTGTTTTGGAGATAATGAGACACAAATATGCACATATCTGTGTACATGTGTAAGTATTTGTATATATGCTATATATATGTTTCTACACACACACATATATAGTTAATCTATCAGTTTTCATTTATAATTTTAATAAATTAAAAATGGAGATTGAATTATGTCAAATGTCTTTTCAGCATCCGTAGACATAATTATATAATTTTACTCTTAAATCTATTAATTTACTAATATAAAACAATTCTTCCTTTGCTGGAATAAACCCCCATTTGGTTATGATGTGTTATTTTTTAATAAACTGTAGAATATTGTTTGCTTATATTTTATTTAATATAATTGCATAAATATTTAGAAGTGAGATCAATCTGTAGTTTTTATCTCATGGAGCTTTAATAGTTTTGGTATTAGGCCAGGAACGGTGGCTCAGCCTGTAATCCTAGCATTGGGAGGCTGAAGCTGGCGGATCACCTGAGGTCAGGAGTTCGAGACCAGCCTGGCCAACATGGCGAGATCCTGTATCTATTAAATGAGTACAAAAATTAGCCAGGCGTGGTGGCAGGCGTCTGTAATCCCAGCTACTCAGGAGGCTGAGGCAGGTGAATCACTTGAACCCAAGAGGCGGAGGTTGCAGTGAGCCGAGATCGCGCCGCTGCACTCCAGCCTGGGCAACAAGAGTGAAACTCGTCTCAAAACAAACAACAACAAAATTTGTTTTGGTATCAGTGTTATACTCACTTCATAAAATAAATCTGTACCTTGTCCTGTGTTTTCTTTAACTGGAACAGCTTAAAAAGCACTGAGAATACCTGCCTTTTAATGATTTTATAGAAATATTATCTAGAAAACATCTGGCCATGGTGATATTTTAAAGGATGGCACTTTGATCCATTTTTCTATTTATTCTAACCTCTCCTTCCCTTCCTACACCTCATGTTCTCCATTATCCAATTTTAATCAATAATTATTTTCACAGTGTTTATTTTTGGAATCTTACATATGCTTACACTTATGCTACTTGATTTGTTACCTATTTTACTTCCACTTATTACTTATGAGACAACTATTAAGTTCAGTCTACTTTTTTCTTTTTTTTTTTTTTAGATGGAGTTGCTATGTTGCTCAGGCTGGAGTGCGATGGCAATGGTGCGATCTCAGCTCACTGATTGCAACCTCCGCCTCCTGGGTTCAAGCAATTCTCCTGCCTCAGCCTCCCGAGTAGTTTGGATTACAGGCACCCACCACCATCCCTGGCTAATTTTTGTATTTTTAGTAGAGACAGGGTTTCACCATGTGGTCAGGCTGGTCTTGAACTCCTGACCTCCTGTGATCCACCCACCTCATCTTCCCAAAGTGCTGGGATTACAAGCATGAGCCACCGCGCCCAGTCAAGTTCATTCTACTTTCTACCATCTCTCCTTCTCCTTTCATTTTTTTCTCAAGTCCTCAGTTTTTACACTGTCAAGGCATCTAACAATTATACACAATTATGTCACTTTTATCCTTTTGTCTTATTACTTTTGTCTTACTACTGATAACATATTTAAGTCTATCTGTTGCTTATTATTGGTTCTTTTGCCGTTTCTTTCCTTAATCATCTTTTGGTTGGAAAAAGTGCAACTTCAAGATCTTCCATGTTGTACATAGATTATCTGAAACCTGTACACATAAAGGAGTGTCTGGCTGGGTATCTAATGCTTGGCTCAGACTTCTTTTCTTGAGTACAGGGCTCTACAATGTTCCGTAGGCATTAAATACTGCTTTCGAAAAGTATGATGCAGCTTAGTTTTTGTTCCTCATAACTTGGAGTTCTTGTGGAGTTATCCAGAGAATTTTTTTTATTCTCTAAAGTCCAATACTTTTATTTGTTTATATCTTAATATTGATTCTGGATTGGTTTTCTTAGGTATATGATATGCCTTTTCAAGAGATTCAAATCTTATGTGATTTTAGGGATGTTCCTTTGAATTGTAGTTTAAAATATTTGTTCTGTAACTTTATTTTGTTTTTCTTCCTTAAGAACTTAAATTATATGTTTCTGGATCTCCTTTGTCCATTTTTCCGTCTCTTATTTTTTTATTTTTTACTTTTTTCCCATTTTCTTTCTCATGTCATTATTGTGTTTTTATATCTGGTGTCACTTGTGCCTTTTGTAATTTAATCTGCATTTCTGAAATAATTTTATCTTTTCCTTTCATTTCTTTCCTGAATTCTGTCAATTCACAGTTTCATGTTTCTACTCTCTGGCCATCTCTTCTTTTGAGTTCCTTTATTTCTAGTCCATGATTTTTATAACTGTGAATATATATATATATATATATATATATATATATATATATATATATATAGCTTTCCTTTATAATATAAAAATGTTTGTGATTTTCTTCTAATCTTAGCAGTGTTTTTCTGGGGAGTTTTCTCCTGTTGCTGAGCTCTGATTTTTCTCATGATTTTACAACATCTTCATTTGAATTCAGCATTTTTACTTTTTCGTTCATAGCTGAATGAGTTTTTCCTGGCTCACCTATTATCAAAAGAACCTGGTAAAGGGGAGAAAAGAGGTAAGGGTTGTGTTTTAGTTCACTTGTGCTACTATTATAGAATACTTGAAACTTGGAAATTCGTAAAGAATAAAAATTTCTTCCTCAGTTTTGACACTTCCAAGTCCACAATCAAGGTGCTAAAAGGTTTGGTTGTCTGGCGAGGGCTACTTCCTGCTTCCAGAATGGTGCCTCAATGCTGCATCCTCCAAAGAGAAGGAAGGATGTGTTTTCACATGGCAGAAAACAGAAGGTTAAAAGGGGACAAACTCTCTCCATCAAGCCCTTTTAAAAGGGCACCTAATCCCATTCATGAGGATAAAATCCTCATGATTCACTCACCTTGCAAAGGCCACACTTCCCAATACTGTTGCATTGGGGATTAAGTTTCACACAAATTTTCAAGAGGACAAAAATATTCAAACCATAACAGGTTGCTTTCTCAGTTTCTTAGCTCAAGAAATCTGCCTTAGATAGCTGAGCTGTTTTTACTCAAACATTTCTGACACCAAATGTGTGGGGATTTTTTTCTCACACCAAACAATTCTCTCACTCTCTGGACACCAACTAGGTGTCCTATAATTCAATTTAATTGTGACACTACCACGAGTTAGCACAGACCACGCAGGTGAAGGGCTCAGTCCCATAAGACTACCCTCACTTCAGATGCCAGTCACAAGTTCTGGTTTGCCACCTGTACATATGACCAAATAACTATAAATTCAGGGTATCCATGACCCCTCCCTCAGGTTCAATAGCTTGCTAGAATGGCTCACAGAACTCAGAAAAACACTTTACAAGTTTATTATAAAGGATAAGGCTCAGAAACAGCCAATTGGAAAGGATGCATAGGACAAAGTATGCATGGGTTGGGGAGTCCATAGACTTTCCTTGCCCTCTCTGGATTATCCATTATCCCAGCACTTCAGTGTGTTCGCTAACCCAGAAGCTCTCCAAACCCTGTCACTGGGGAAGGGGGGTGGTTATGGTGATTTCATTATGTAGCCATATTGATCAAATCATTGGCCATTGATACTTAGCTCAACCTCCATCTTCTCTCTCCTCCCCAGAGGTCAGGAGTTGAGGCTGAAAGTTCTGACCCTCTAATCATGCCTTGGTCTTTCTGGTTACTACCCTCCATAATGATATCTAGGGGTCCCCAGCTACCAATCATCTCATTAGCAAACAAAGACACTCTTATCACTTTTGGGATTACAGAGGTTTTAGGAGCTAGGTGCTAAGAACTAGGACAAAGACGAAATATATATCTCCTACTGTATTGCTCTGTAACCAGTATTTTCTTTAATATCATCTCTCACTACCACCCTATTCTCTACACTGTCTACAATTGTTCACATTGCTTCTCTGAGCACTAATGCTCTCCCCTCCTTGTTCTTGGTTCTACCCACAGCAGTTCTTACAGAGGGCCCCTTCCTTTGGTGGGGTGAAAATTTGCTGGCATTGTTTGTGCTCTGCCTCTGCTAGAAAATCTCACTCCCAGTTCTTTCCTACAACACCTGCCATCATCCAACACTGTTTGTCAACCCCCTGCTATTCTTCTTGTTTCAAATGTTCTTCCCCTAACTTATATTTTATTCAGTTTGTGGATTTTTCTTGGTCTTCTAGTTTTTTTGAAGGCTGTGGAGAGTTGTATCGTTGTTCTTGTTGTCTCTATTATAATTCAGAATTCCTCTAGTTCTAATTTCAAGTTATTATTTCTGTTTTCTTATCTTGTATTATCCAGGAGACTTCAGAATAGTTTCATAAAACTAAGGGCTAGATCTCTGGTAGATTGTAGAAAACTAAGGGAAGCATCTATGCCCATGCATGGGATCAAATAGAAAGTATGGAAGAACCCTTAGCAGGCTGAGGGAGGTCAGCCATCTGAGACCAGAGAAAGCATTATGAGTGGAAGGAGACTAGACTCAGAAAGTTTATCTGCAGTGTGGAAACAGACAGCTGAAAACAATACAAGATGTGTTATTTATAAAACTAGTAGGCACACTCAGGCAGTCACATGAATTCTGGTGGAAAAGAATAATAACAGCAACGGCAGCTAACACAGAGCACCTCTATGTGCCACGCACTGGCGTAAGTGCTTTACATACATCAATTCATTTGTCTCTCACAACAACACTATATGATAGTTACAGTTCTTATCCCTATTTTACAGATAAGAAAACTGAGGCATACAGCATATGAGTAATTTGCTAAAGGTGAATAGCAAGTGAACAATAGAGCTGGAATTCAAATCCAAACAATCTGCTCCAGATTCCATGCTCTTAACTAGTAAGTTATTTGTATTCATCAAACTTTTTGAAAGAGATAAGTCATCTTCAGAAAAGCTGACTTTTAAGGTGTTCTCAGTATAAGACTCTATGTTCTTTAGTCTCTTTGAATGCATGCTCAAAGCCACCATAATTTGAGCAACAGTGTTAATCTGACCTCATGTGTGCCATAAGCCAATAGGTCAGGGAAATTCTGCTTTGCACATATATATTAAGAATAAGTACTGCTTTGGTACTTTAGAAATCAATGGGTGAAAAATTCTAATCTGGAATATAGTTATTTGAGTAAGAAAATATATGGTTTACTTCAAGATGGCAAAGATTTCATGTGATCCACATTTTAAATAGAAAACCTAATATTTTAATTTTAAAATCAAATTAATATAAAAAATAAAGTGTCTACAAACTAAAAGTCATACCTGTCCTGCTTATAAAAATGGCAACTTTTATTTGTGTTCTACATATGGTATAAAATCTTGCTTCCTTGAAAATGGCCCCATATTGAAAAATGAGATTTTTTTTTTTTTTTTTTTTGAGATGGAGTCTCACTCTGTTGCCCAGGCTGGAGTGCAGTGGCGCGATCTCGGCTCACTGCAAACTCCACCTCCCAGGATCAAGGGATTCTTCTGCCTCAGCCTCCCAAGTAGCTGGGACTACAGGCGTGCACTACCACACCTGGCTAATTTTTGTAATTTTAGTAGAGACGGGGTTTCACCGTATTGGCAGGGTGGTCTCGAACTCCTGACCTCGTGTTCCGCCCACCTCGGCCTCCCAAAGAGTTGGGATTAGAGGTGTGAGCCACCACGCCCAGCCAAAAAAATGAGAATTTTTAAAACAACCACCAGTATGTAACAACTACCACTGAATAATTAGTGTCACAATCACTGGAGATACAGACATTGCACAGAGAACTTAGGTTCCTTTTTCTTAATTTTTTAAAAACTTTTATTGTAGGTTCAGGGATACAAGCGTAGGTTTGTTATATAGGTAAATTGCATGTCCTGGGGGTTTGGTGTATAGATTATTTCATTACCCAGGTAATAAGCATAGTACCCGATAGGTAGTTTTTTGATCCTTTGCCTCCTTCCACCCTCTGCCCTCAAAGGAGCCCAGTGTTTGTTGTTCCCTTCTTTGTGTCCATGTGTACTCAATGTTTAGCTCCTACCTATATGTGAGAATATGCAGTATTTGGTTTTCTGTTCCTGCATTAGTTTACTTAGGAAAATGGCCTCCAGCTTCATCCATGTTGCTGTAAAGGACATGAACTTATTATTTTTTATGGCTGCATAGTATTCCATGGTGTGTTTGTACCACATTTTCCTTATTCAATCCACCATTGACAGGTATTTAGGTTGATTCTATGTCTTTGCTATTGTGAATAGCACTGTGATGAACATACACATGCATGAGTCCTTATGGTAGAAATATATATATTTGTTATATACCCAATAATGAGATTGCTGGGTTGAATGGTACTTCCATTTTAAATTCTTTGAAGAATCACAACACTGCTTTCCACAATGGCAGAACTAATTTACACCCCCACCAGCAGTGTATAAATATTTCCTTTTCTACCCAACCTCACTAGCATCTATTATTTTTTGACCTTTTAGTAATACCCATTCTGACTGGTATGAGATGGTGTCTCATTATGGTTTTGATTTCATTTCTCTGATGATCAGTGGTGTTGAGCTTTTTTCCATATGTCTTCTTTTGAGAAGTGTCTGTTCACGTTCTTTGCCCAGTTTTTAATGGGGTTGTTTGTATTTTGCTTGTTAATTTAAGTTCCTTATAGATTCTAGATATTAGACCTTTTGTCAGATGCATTGTTTGCAATAATTTTCTCCAATTCTGTAGGTTGTCTGTTTACTTTGTTGATAGTTTCTATTGCTGTGCAGAAGCTCTTTAGTTTAATTAGGTCATACTTGCCAATTTTTGTTTTTGTTCCTATTACTTTTGGCATCTTAATCATGAAATATTTGCCAGGGCCTCTGTCCAGAATGGCATTCCCTAAGTTATCTTCCAGGGCTTTTACAGTTTTAGATTTTACATTTAAGTCTTTAATCCATCTTGAATTTGTTTTTGTATGTGATGTGAGGAAGGGGTCCTGCTTCAGTCTTCTAAATATAGCTAGCCAGTTATCTCATCTACATTTATTGAATGGTAAGTCTTTTACCTTTGGCTTGTTTTTGTTGGCTTTAAGATCAGATGTTTGTAGATGTGCAGCTATTTTCACTCTGTTCTATTCCATTGGTCTATATGTCTGTTTTTGCAGTACCATTCTGTTTTGGTTACTGTAGCCTTGTAGTATAGTTTGAAGTCAGGTAATGTGATATTTCCAGCTTTGTTTCTTGCTTTGTTTTGTTTTTGTTGTTGTTGTTGTTGTTGTTTTTGCTTAGGCTTGCCTTAGCTGTTTGAGCTCTTGTTTTTCATTCCATAAGAATTTTAAAATAATTTTTTTAATTCTGCAAGAAATACCATTGGTAGTTTCATACGAATGGCATTCAATCTGTAAATTTCTTTGGGCACTATGGCCATTTTAGCACTATTGATTCTTCCTATCCCTGCTCATGGAATGTTGTTCCATTTGTTTGTTATCTCTGATTTCTTTGAGCAGTGTTTTGTAATTCTTATTGTAGAGATCTTTCACTTCCCTGGTTAGCTGTGTGCCTAGGTTTTTATTCTTTTTCTGGCTATTGTGAATGGGATTGCATTCTTGATTTGGATCTCAGCTTGGGCATTGTTGGTGTACAGACATGCTAGTGATTTTCATACATTGATTTTGTATTGTTTAACTTTGTTGAAGTTGTTTATCAGATCTAGGAGCTTTTGGGCAGAGACTACAGGATTTTCTAGGTATGGAACCATATTGTCTGCAAATGGAAATAATTTGACATCTTCGCTTCCTATTTGAATGACTTTTCTTTCTTTCACTTGCCTGATTGCTCTGGCTAGGACTGCTAATACTATGTTTAATCAAACTGGTAAGAGTGGGCATCATTGTCTTAGTCTGGTTTTCAAGGGGAATGCTTCCAGCTTTTGCCCATTCAGTATGATGTTGGCTATGGGTTTCTCATAGACAACTCATTATTTTGAGGTCTGTTCGTTCAGTGCTTATTTTGTTAAGGGTTTTTAACATGAAGGGGTGTTGAATTTTATCAAAGTATTTTTTGCATTTATTGAGATGATCATGTGGTTTCTGATTTCAGTTCTGTTTATGTGGAGAATCACATTTTTTGATTTGCATATGTTGAACCAACCTTGCATCCCAAGGACCAAGCCTACTAGATTGTAGTGAATTAACTTTTTGATGTGCTGCTGGATTTGGTTTGCTAGTATTTTGCTGATAATTTTTGCATCTATGTTCATCAAGGATATTTTTACATCTATGTTCATTAAGGATATTGGTTTGAAGTGTTCTTTCTTTGTTGTGTCTCTGCCAGATTTTGGTATCAGAATGATCCTGGCCTCATAGAGTGAGTTAGGGAGCAGTCTCTCCTTCTTAATTTTTTGGAATAGTTTCAACAAGAATTGTACCGCTCTTCTTTGTACATCTGGCAGAATTCAGCTGTGAATCTATCTGGTCCTTGGCTTTTTTTGATTGGTAGGCTATTTATTACTGATTCAATTTCAGAGCTCATTATTAGTCTGTTCAAGGATTTGATTTTTTTTCTACTCAATATTGAGAAGTCATATGTTTCCAGAAATTAATTCATTTTTTCTAGATTTTCTAGCTTGTGCACATAGAGGTATTCATAGTAGTCTCTGAGGTTTTTTTGTATTTCTGTGGGATCTCTGGTAATGTCCTTTTTGTCATTTCTGATTGTGTTTATTTGGATCTTCTTTTCTCAAAATTAGTCTAGCTGGTGGTCTATTTTATTTATTCTTTCAAAGAATCTACTCCTGGATTTGATGATCTTTTGCATGGCTTTTGATTTCTCAGTTCCCTTCAGTTCAGCTTTGATTGTGATTATTTCTTGTCTTCTGCTAGCCTTGAGGTTGGTTTGCCCTTGTTTCTTTAGTTCTTCTACGTGTAATGTTAGGTTATTAATTTGAGATCTATCTGACTTTTTGATGTGGGCATTTGGCACTATAAACTTCCCTCTAAACACTGCTTTAGCTGTATCCCAGAGTTCTTGTATGTTGTATCTTCGTTCTCATTAGTTTTGAAGAATTTCTTGATTTCTGCCTAATTTCATTGATAACAAAGTAAACTCATTGTTTACTCATGTAAGAGCAGGTTGTTTAATTTTCATGTAATTGTATAGTTTTGAGTGATTTAATTAATATTGATTGCTATTTGTATTGCCCTGTGGTCAGGGAGTTTGGTTGATATGATTTCAGTTTTTTTGTTTTTTTAATTTGCTGAGGATTGTTTTGTGTCCAATTTTGTGGTTGATTTTAGAATATGTGCCATATGGTGATGAGAAGAATGTATATTCTGTTGTTTGGGGGATGGAAAGTAATGTAGATATCTATTAGTACAAGTGTTGAGTTCAGGTCTTGAATATCTTCTGCCTCAATTTTCTGCCTCGATGATCTGTCTAATACTGTCAGTGGCATGTTTAAGTCTCCCACTATTATGTGGAAATTTAAGTCTCTTCATAGGTCCTAAGAATTTGCTTTATAAATCTGGGTGTTCCTAAGTAGGGTGCATATATATTTAGGATAGTTCGTTTTTTTGTTGAATTACACCTTTTACCATTATGGAATGCCCTTCTTGTCTTTTTTTAATCTTTGTTGATTTAAAGTCTGTTTTATTTGAAATTAGAATAGCAACCCCTGCTTTTTTCTGTTTCCCCTTTGCTTTCTAGTTTTTTTCTCCATCCCTTTACTTTGAGCCTATAAAGGTCATTGTATGTGAGATGGGTCTTGTAGAGACAGCATACCATTGGTTCTTGCTTTTTATCCAGCTTGCCACTCTGTGCCTTTTAATGGGAGCATTTAGCCCGATTGCATTCAAAGTAAATATTGATATGTGTGGATTTGATCCTGTCATTGGGTTGTTAGCTAGTTATCATGGAGACTTGTTTATGTGGTTGCTTTACAGTGTCAATGGTCTGTTTACTTAAGGTGTTTTCTTTTTTGTTTTTTGTTTTTGTTTTTGTTTTTGTTTTTTTAGGGGCTGGTAACAGTCTTTCCTTTCCATATTTACCACTCCTTTCAGGACTTCTTGTAAGCGAGGTATGATGATGTAATGAATTCCCTCAGCATTTGTTTGTCTGAAAAGGACCTTATATTTCCTTCACTTATGAATCTTAGTTTGACTGCACATGAAATTCTTGGTTGAATATTCCTTTTGTTAGGAATGCTGAATATAGGCCCCCATTATCTTCTGGCTTGTTGGGTTTCTGCTGAAAGATCTGCTGTTAGCCTGATGGGGTTCCCTTTGTAGGTGACCTGTTCCTTCTATCTAGCTGCCTTTAACAATTTTTTCTTTCATTTGACTTTGGGGAATCTGATAATTATGTGTCTTGGGGATGGCATTTTGTGTAGTATCTTGCAGGGGTTCTCAGCATTTCCTGAATTTGAATGTTGGCCTCTCTAGTGAGGCTGGGAAAGTCTTCATGATGATATCCTGAAATATGTTTTCCAAGTGGCTTTCTCTCTACCCATCTCTTCCAGGGATACCAATGATTTGTTGATTTGGTCTCCTTTCAAAATTGCATAATTCTCAGAAGTTTTGTTCATTCTTTTTTATTCTTTTCTCTTTATTTTTCTCTGGCTGAGTTAGTTCAGAGAACCAGTCTCCAAGCTCCAAAATTCTTTCCTTACCTTGGTCTATTCTGCTGTTAATAGTTGCAACTGCATTATAAAATTCTTGTAGTATCCTTGTCAACTCTGTCAGATCAATTTGGTCCTTTCTTATAATGGCCAATTCATCTATCAGCTCCTGATTTATTTTATTGTAATCCTTGGATTCCTTGAATTGGGTTTCAACTTTCTCGTGAATCTCAATAATCTTCATTCCTATCCATATTCTGAATTCTATTTCTGTCATTTCTGCCATTTCAGCCTGGTTAAGAACCCTTGCTGAGGAACTAGTACAGTCATTTGGAGGAAAGAAAACACTCTGTCTTTTTGAGTTGCCAGAGTTCTTGTGCTGGTTCTTTCTCATCTGTGTAAGCTGATGTTCCTTCACTGTAGTATAATTTGAGTACAGTCAGCTGACTTCTTTTCTGGATGTTTTCAGAGGGCTGAGGCTTTGTGCAAGATCTTTATTTGTAGCTGAGTTCTTGTCCTTGGTGTCACAGGGGATGTATATTAGCAAAGTATTTTTGGTGTTGATGTTTGGGCCATGATCCAGCAGATGGTGTTTAAGCATAATGGCCAGTAGGTAGACTCTTGCTCAGCCACGTGACTCCTCTGTATTTCTTCTCAATTGCAACCATGTTCCCTCTTAGTGCTCTGAAAGTGTGGGCTCCTCTCCCACTGGAGTGCTGGCTGTGGGTCTCAGGTTGGCACTCCCGGGCTGCACACCACAGCCATGGTGCAAACTCAGGCTTTATGTTCCCTCCCCATCTTGGAGCAGCAAGGAATGTGACCTTGACAGTCACTGTGGCTGAGGGCCTTTCACTTGTCTTTTGAGATTCACCCCAGAGAAATGCAGAGCTCCAGCCAGTCAGTGCATTTGGCCCAGGGTGGGGCAGCTGTATTGCAGGCCCCAGTCAGGTGGCCCTGCCTGGTAATGAGCAAGGATGGCAAGGGGCTTATCAGGGAGACAAACTGACCTCTTATCCTTTGGGTGGTCATGGCTTGCCGAAAGTGTGGCTAAAGTACTAGGGTCTTTGCTCCTTTCCCAGTCCAAGGGTAGTACCACTGCAGTGGCAATGGCAGAGGGGCTTTCAGTTGCTTCTGGGAGCTCCACCTCAGAGAAACACAGAGCTGCTGCTACTGAGGATGTTCAGCCAGATAATGGGTTTGCTGCCCTGCTGGCTCAAGCTGTGGGTCCCTCTTGGTGAAGAGTGGGTAGGTAAGGACTCACAGGGAGGAGAGACAGGGCTCCTCTATGTATGGCAACTGTGCTGTGCTGGCAATGAGAGTAAAGGCCTCAGTCTCTTTGTTTCTTCTCCAATCCTTAGGCAACAGGGGCAGAACCACTGCCATGGCAGTGGAAGAGGAGTTTTTGGTTGCCTCGCAGAGCCCCTCCCCAGGGAAACACAGAACCACTAACAGTGGGAATGGTCAGCCAGGGTTGGGGTGGCTACTCTGCAGTCCTAAGCTGGGGGTCCTGCTTGGTGAAGAGTCAGGGATGGAGGCTTACAGGGAAGAGACACTGGGCTCCTCTCCATGTAATGGATGTGGTGTGCTGGAGGTTCCAGCATAGTGACAAGGCTCTCTGTTCCTTCGCCAGCCCCAGAGCAGTAATAAAAGTACTACAGCTACAATTGCAAAGGGGTTGTGGGATGCCTCTGTGATTTCCTCCTCAGAGAAATGCAGAGCGGTCATTGACTGAAGTGTTCAGCAGGGAGTAGGGTGATTGTGTTGAGGTCCCAGGTGGAGAGGGACTGCCTAGTGAAGAGTAGCAGAGGTGGGGACCCATATGGAAAACAGTCTGGCCACTTTTTCATAAAGCACCTTCACTGTGATGGGGGTTCGCATTTGTCCGCAACTGCGATGCTACCTTCCAAGCATAGAGGAGCAACAGCTGTGGGCAGCAAAAATAGCAGCCTCCCTGCTTCTTCTGGGAGCTCCATCCCAGGGAAGTGCAGAGCTCAAGAGCTCAGGCAGGGGGTGGGTGGAGTCCTTCCTCTATCAGGTCCCCTTATCCAGAGAGCAGTAGTAGAAGTGATGACCCACGTGAAAAACAGTCTGGCCACTTTTCTGAAAGGCAGCTGCACCGTGCTTGGAGTCCGAGATAGTTCCTAGTCACTGCGCATCCTCCTGAGCCTGAGAGCAATTGGAGTGATGGCTGCAGAGCAGCAGAAATGACAGCCTGCCTCTCCCTCTGGGAGCTCCACCCCGGGGAACTGCAGAGCTGCAGTGCCCAAGAATGAAGGCAGAGCTGCAATGGCCTCGCTAGCAGCCCAGGCCAGTAGGCCTTTCCCTGTAATTCTTCTTTTAGAGATCTTTCACCTCCTTGGTTAAATACGGTTTATTTTTTGTGTGTGGCTATTGTAAATGAGATTGCTTCTTGACTTGGTTCTCAGCTAGATTGTTATTCGTGAACAGAAACATTACTGATTTCTGTATGAAAATTTTGTTTTCTGGAACTTTACTAAATTCATTTTTAAAATCTAAGGGTTGTTAGTGAAGTCTTCAGGGTTTTCTAGATATAAGATCATATTATCAGCAAATAGGGATAATTTGACTTCTTTTCCAATTTGGATGCCTTTTATTTTTATTTCTTTTGCCTGATTGCTCTGGTAAGGACTTTCAGTACTATAAGAGTGGTAAAACTGGGCATTCTTGTCATGTTCCAGTTCTTAGATGGAATGCTTTCAACTTTTCCCCATTAAGTATGATGTTGGCTGTGGGATTTTCATAGATGGCCTTTATTATGTTGAAGTAGGTTGCTTCTATGCCTAGTTTATTGAGGAGTTTTATCATGAAAGTTGCTGAATTTCACTGAAGGTTCTTTCTACATCTAACGAGATGATCATAGGGTTTTTGTACTTAATTCTGTTTATGTAATAGTAATATATCACGTTTATTGACTTGCATATATTGAACCATCCTTACATCCCTGGGATAAATCCCAACTGATCATGGTTTATTATCTTTTTGCTGTGTTGTTGGATTTGATTTGCTAGTATTTTGTTGAGGATTTTTGCATCTGTGTTCATCAGGTTATTGGTCTGTAGTGCTCTTTTGTTGTTGTGTCTTTGTCTGGTTTCGGTATCATAATGATATGGGCCTCATGGAATGAGTTAAGAATTCTCACCTCTTTGATGTTTGGAATAGTTTCAGGAAGATTGGTATTAGTTCTTTATATGTTTCTTCTTTGTATCCACAATTCAGCTATGAATCCATCTGGTCATGGGCTTTTTTTTCTTGGAAGTTTTTTTTGTTACTGATTTAAAATTATTACTCATTATTGGCCCATTCTGGAGTCCTATTTCTTCCTAGTTCAATCTCAGGAAATTGTGTGTTCCCAGAAATTTAGTCACTTCCTCTAAGTTTTCTAGTTTGTGAAAGAATAGTTGTTCAAAACAGTCTCTGATGATCTTTTGTATTTCTGTGTTATCAGTTATAATGTCTCCGTTTTCATCTCTGATTATGTTTATTTAGATCTTCTCTCTTCTTGGTTAGTCTAGCTAGTAGTGGCATATCAATTTTGCTTAGGTTTTTGAAGAACCAACTTTTCATTTTATTGATGCTTTGTGATTTGTGGGGGGAGTCTATATTTCATTTACTTCTACTCTGATCCTTATTTCTTTTCTTCTGATAAATTTGGGTTTAGTTTGTTCTCTTTTCCCTGTTCCTTAAGGTGCAATGTTAGTTAATTCATGATCATTTTACTTTTTTGATGTAGGCATTTAATGCTATAAATTTCCCTCTTACAGCTTTTGCTGTATTCCACAGCTTTTGTGGAGTATTATGTTTTCATTTTTATTCACTTCAAAAAATTTTTCAATTTCCATCTTAATGTCTTCATTGACCTAGCAATTATTCTGGGGCATGTTATTTAATTTCCTTATATTTGTATAGTTTCAGAAGTTCCTCTTAGTATTTATTTCTAGCTTTATTCCACTGTGGTATGAGAAGTTACTTGATATAATTTAGATTTTTTTATGTCTGTTGAGACTTGTATTGTGGCCTAATATATGCTCTATCTTGGAGAATGTTCCATGTGCTGCTGAAAATAATGTATATTCTATAGTTGGGCAGAATGTTCTGTAAATGTCTGTCAAGTTTATTTGTTCTATCTCATGAGGCAAATTGGATTTTTTTAAAAATTTTATTCTAAAGTCCAATTTAAAACCAATGTTCCTTTGTTAATTTTCCGTCTCAGTGATCTGTCTAGTGTTGTGAGCGAGGTGCGTTAAAGTCCCCTACTGTTGTTGTATTGCTATCTATCTCTTTCTTTAGATCTAGTAATATTTGTTTGGTAAATTTGGGTCCTCTGATGTTGAGTACATATATATTTATTATTATATAATGAACTTCTTTGTCTTTTTATACTTTATTTTAAATCTGTTTTATTTGATATAGATATAGCTATTCTTGCTTGCTTTTGGTTTCTATTTGTGTGGAATCTCTTTTTCCACCTCTTTACTTTCAGTATATATGTATTTATGGGTAAGGTGAATTTCTTGTAGGCATCATATAGTTAAATGATGTTTCTTGATCCATTCTGCCAATCTGTCTCTTAAGTGCAGTATTTAATCCACTTATATTCAAGGGTAATATTAATATGTGAAACTTTTTTCCTGCCTTACTGTTGACTGTTTTCAAGTTGTTTTATAAATTCTTTCTTTCTTTTTCTCTTTTTGCCTTTGTGTTTTGATGAAATTTTGTCATGTTGCTGTTTGATTCCTTTCTCTTTCTCCTTTGTGTGATGGGTTTATACAAACTGTGAGTTTTATATGTCCATGTGTTTTCATGGTGGTGAATACTAAACTTTTGTTTTCATGTTTAAGATCATTTAGAGTATTTCTTATAGTCCCAGTCTAGCAGTGACAATTTCCCTCAGCATTTGCTCATCTCAGAAAGACTTTGTTTCTCCTTTATTTATGAAATTTCTTCTGGCAGGATACAAAATTCTTGGTTGATACATTGTTTTTCTCAGCACTTGAAAAATGCCATTTTCTTCTGGCCTCTAAGATTTCTGCTGAAAAGTCCACAGTTAGTCTGGTGGGGTTTCCCTTATAGGTAACTAGGCACTTTTCTCCTACTGATTTTAGAATTCTTTCTTTCACTTTGACTTTAGACATTCTGAATATATGTTGTGGTGGGGTCTTTTTTCAATGTCTTTCCTTGGGGATCACTGGGCCTCCTGAATCTGAATGTCTCTCTTGATAGACTTGGGAAGTTTTCATCGATTGTTTCTTTAAATATGTTTTCTAATCACTCTTTCCCTTGAGAACACCACTAATTCATAAGTTTGGGTGCTTTATATAGTCTCAGATGTCTCAAAGGCTTTGTTCATTCTTCTAATCCTTTTTATATTATTTTTGTCTGACTGGATTATTTCAAAAGTCCTGTCTTCAAGGTCTGAGATTCTTTCCTCTGCTTGGTCTAGTCCATTATTGTAGCTTTAGAATGTATTTTTTTATTTCCTTGAGTGAATTTTTTAGTTTCAGAGTTTCCACTTGTTTGGGTTTTTTCTTTTTTTTTAAGATCTTCATCTCCTTGGTAAATTTCTCATTCATGTCCTAGATTGATTTTCTGATTTCTTTGCATTGGTTTTCAGATTTCTCTTGCATCTCATTGAACTTATTTAAAATCAATATTTTGAATTATTTATCCGGCATTTCAAGGAATTTTTTTTATTGGTATCTATTGATGACAATTGTTCTGTTCTTTTGATGGTATATTTGCCTGCCTTTTTATGTTTCCTGTGTCCTTCTGATGATTTCAACCTCTGTCTCCTGGGTTCAAGCAATTCTCCTGCCTCAGGTTCCCAAGAAGCTGGGATTACTGGCACATGCCACCACACCCAGCTAATTTTTGTATTTTTAGTAAAGACAGGGTTTCACCATGTAGGCAAGGCTGGTATCAAACTCCTGATCTCAAGTGATCCACCCACCTCAGCCTCCCAAAGTGTTAGGATTACAGGTGTGAGCCACCATGCCCAATCTTTGTTCCAGTCTTTGGGTGGGGCACAGCCTAGCATTAAACTCTCAAAATCTTTGTTTTCTTAAAATTGCTTTTGTAGGAGAGAAATTTTTCCTCAGGATGTATGTATGTTGTTGATTAAGATACGTTGGCTTTGATTTTGGGTGCCTGAAGTACTGTGATCTTTGTATGACTTCTTCAGTAGTACACAGAGTCAAAGGTCTGTGTGATTTCCTTGGTGACTTAGGGTACAGTTATTAGTTGAAGTTGTGATGAAGTTTAGCTGAAGATTTGGATGCCAACTGAACCAGCCTTCAGGCCCTGGTGGTGGCAGCAGTGGGTTGACTGTGCCTGTTTTTAGGCCTCAGGTCAGCCTCCACTGGCTCTGGTGTCAGTGGGTCCTGGAGGGCTGAATTTTAGGCTTCCAGGTGGCTTTCTTAGAACCCAGTACTGGGAGTGGTGGGCCCAGTATGTGGTGTGAGTTCTCAGGCTTCTGGGCAACTGGTATTTCATGTAGGTGATGGCAGTGGAGAAACCCACTGGGACCCAAAAAGTCCATGTTGGTGTTGCTGGAAGCTACAATGTGTTGGGCAAGTTAGTCCCCAGTCCCACAGACACCTGTAGCATGGCAGTGTGTACTGTCCTAAGAGTGCTTAAGAGAGCTTTGTCTTCTCTGTCCCTCCCTGAGCTGGGTGGTAGCTACAGCTTAATTGCCTCAAATTCAGTCCAAGTGTGGGGCACAGCCCAGCATTAAACTCTCAAAATGGTGCCAGCTGCCAGCTTGTGACCTGAGAGGGCAGGGCCCATCTCAGGCAAATAGCATGAGCAAGAAGCTGTGGGGAGTGTGATTCTCTTGAGTCTCAATCTTACAGAAGCCCATAGGGACAGCCTGGCTTCCTTGTTTCACCTCAACCAGGTGGTGGCTGCAGCCATGTCAAGTCAAACTTGGCCAGAGGGTGGGATGTAGCCCAGCATTAAACTCTTAAAATGGCATCTTGGGCCTGTGACCAGGGAGGGCAGGGTTCCTCCCAAGCAGACAGTGTGGGCAAGAAGCTGTGGGGAGTACGGTCTACTCATGTCCCAGTCTCAACAGCAGCCTTCAGCAGGGCAGCAGGGACCCTTCCAGGGGTGAATGGGAATGTTTGTTCTCCCTTCTCCCTCTTTGGAGAAGCTCAGCAGCAGCAGCAGCCACGTCTGTAGATCCCCCGGTCTCTAGGATCAAAATGACTCCCAGCTGAGATGCTCCAGGGTCAGATACCTACAAGATTCTGTGTGGATGCCTTTTCTGGAGCAACATCTCTGTGCAATCTTTAGGCAGCTCTGTATGTCAGACCCATTCCCTAGTAGGTCGAGGATTTCTCCCTTGGGCAAGATGACAAAACCCCATTTTGGAGCCCTAGGGTTTTCTCTCTTACTGTTTCCTCATGTGCAGGAGCCTCTCCCAGCTCTCAGTCAGTTCCCAGCTGAGCAAGCTGCCTCAAACCCTCTACTTACTTACTTTGGGTGCTTCCGATCTCTTCTCTTCTCTGGCTTATCCTAGCATTCTTTTCTATGAAATCTGTTCAAAATGTGTTGAGATTAGCATTTGAGTCAATAGCCTGAATAAGGCATCTTGCCCTTCCCAATGTAGGTGGACATTGTGTAATATGTTGAGGACCTCAGTAGAACATAAGGAAGAGGAAGTAGGCATTTATTCATTTTATCTGTCTCACTGTTTGAGCTGGTACATCTCATCTCTTCTTCCGCCTTGCAGCTGGGCTTTACATCATGGGCTCCCCTGATTCTCAGGCCTTCAGACTCAGACTCTGAGTTATACCACCAGCTTCCCTGGGTCTTCAGCTTACAGATGGCAGATAACGATATGATGGGATTTTTCAACCTCCATAACCATGTGAGCCAATTCCTATATGTATTAACATATGTGTGTTTATATGTGTGTGTGTATTTGTATACATATATGTTTATATCTGTATACATATATATGTGTGTGTGTGTGTATATATATATCTGTATACATATATATGTATATGTATATCCTATTGGTCTGTTTATCCAGAGGAACCCAATATATAACCTAACGCTGTTCAAAGCATCTGCACTCCTATTTGGAGTTTACAGCAATGTAGTAATATGAGTGAACCTTTAACATTCTCATTTCACAGGTTAAGAAGTGCAGGTTCTAAGAAGTTAAGTGATCTTCCAAGGCCACATGGAGACTTAAATTGTGAGAAGAGATGAGGACCCAGGTCTTCTGCCCCGAAATCTAGTGTTCTACCCACAGCACCCCACCAACTTGGACATGTGAGAGACAACTAAAATGCTTGCAAATAGTAGACAACTCTGTCTACTATTACAGTACACAACTCTGTCAGGCTCCCCAGGTTAGGTCCAAGATTAATAAAAGTCAGACACCCAAGAATGTCACCCTAAGTATCTGGAAGCCCCTGACTTCTGATTTCTTGTCCAGCAAAGATATTATAATTGATTTGGTTTTCTGTATATTTGCCTTCTGAAGTCATCCAGCTATTCATTCAGTCAATAATAACTGAATATTAATAGAAAATGTGTTATGTTTGTTGATTAAACATATGCCTACATTTTCTTGGGGGCAAATAAGAGATTTACATGGATTAAAACTATTAAATTTACATTTACAAGTATATGCCAGTAGATTAAAATCAGTTGACCCAAACCCACGCAAGTTATCCACCAACTTGATATCAAAGTATAATACTACATTCTATTCTAGTAGTTTATTTTTACAAACATTTATTTTTAAAATAAATAACTCTTAGATTTTAAAATACCAACAAAAACATTGTTTAAATTTCCTGAGAAACTCATCATCATTAGGAAATAATGCATTTATATTTAGAGTCAAATTACACTTGACTAAGACTTTATGGATTCAATAACCTACTTCAGGAAATACTACCCCACAACATGGTTTCTTCATATATAATTAATGTTTTCTAAAGTTCTTATTTATTTATTTATTTATGTTTTAAAAATCTGTTATTGATTTCCTGCCCTGAGCCATGCTGGACACTGGGGACACAAGAGCGAATAAAACAAATTTAAACAATTTTTAGAATCGCCCACCCTCATGGAGATAACATTGCAGGAGGTGGCACAGGGACAGATACTGAAAAAGATAGGTAGGTAAAATGTAAAGTATATTAGATCGTGATCAATGCTGAGAGGAAAAGTAAAGGGGGGCAAGCCAGGTAGAAGGAGCTGTTGTTTAGACAGGGTGACCAGGGCTCCTCATTTGCCCAGAAAAGTCTCACGTCCTAGAAATCCTCAGTCCCAGGCAAAATAGGATCTTTGGTCACTCTAAATCTATATTGAGAGGCAAGGGAAGACATACTATGAAAATATTCTTTCAGTAAAAAGAACACTTCCAGTAGAGGAAACAGCAAGTAGAAAGACCCTGAGGCAGGAATATGCCTGGCTTATTACTTGTGCAAGGTCAAGGATTAGCGAGGGTGGGGCAGTTGTGAGCAAGATACGAGATGAAGAGAAGTATGAGGCTGCAAGGTGTTTCAGAGAAATGCTCAATGTCCTCCACAGGAAGAAGGAACACCGTCAGTACTGCTAGCTTTGGCTGGGAAGAAACTTACTCTGGATTCTGGCTGTTCCCAGTACTCACTTCTGGTACTTCTGGAGAAGCCAAGGGGCAAAAGGGGGCAAGAATAATAGTTGAGGAAGAAAAGGGAAAGAAATGAGCCCAGCCACAAGGAAAGGCTCTTCCCACAAATCCATCTCTCTTTGGAGAGTCTTAGGTTAAATCCTTGAAAGTGCCTGCATATTTATCCCATCTCTCCATTTTTTCTTCTCTGATCTTGCTCAACTGGGCTCCTTCTGTTTGTTGACAACTCAGGATTTTAAAGTTAGTACTACCACCAGGCATTCCTGCTAATGGAAGAAGTCCAAATTCTATTTGGCCACGAATACAATTACACCCACAGAAGTGTATTTTTGCTCCCAGCTTCAGTCTTCTTTTTGCCAGGTAGATAATTTATACAGAGCTGGAAAAAGATTGTTTGGGGCAAATGACACAATACATTTGCCACAGATAGACACAGCCTCATATGTGAAACCAAGACAATGAGCAGTTCACTTAACTTTTCAACTCCCATTTCAGCATCCTTTTTAATTTAAATGGAGTTGATATTTCTTTACCACCTACTAGCACCAGAAGGGTGTCATAAGGACACTTTTAAAATGCTTTCAACTACTCAGATGAAAGATACTTTATGAATATTGTGTGATGCTGTCACTGAATCTTCATTCTCACTAGCCTATTTATGTGTCTTTCTTTTTTATTTTCCACAAACATAATCATGTAGTATACCCATTGTCTGAATATTTGGCAAATTTGCTAACTAGGCATTCATGTGCTCCTTCAGGTGTTTCATCCATATTTATTGATATTCATCAAATAAGCAGGGATAGTAATGTAGCCTGTTTGCTTTTTTTATTTTCTGCTACTTTAGTTGAAGACAAATTAAATTGTCTCTCAGATGTTATCAGCAGCTGTCAAAAAGCATCCCTTACTCAGAGATCTATTTTGTATTCAGAAAGCACAAAATCATATAACACAGTCACTCCAGCAGCACCCTCAGTAGCTATCTAGAGCTGTTTATTGAGGGCCAACTATGTGTCAATCATCAAATTTTTTATTGTATCTAGGGAACTTCCAGAAATGGGTAACCACCATGTGACATATGTGATTTCAAAGACTCCCAGCGATAGCCCCTTCCCTTTAACTTACTTTCCAAAACAGATTCCCTCTAAATAATGTGAGAGGGCACATCACTGGTGCCTGAGGCGTTGAGTAGAGTCTTTGCAAGTAACATGAGCCCTAAACACTGCCATGTGAGGAATGACTTAGGTAAGAGTATGAAATAATAAGCATAAGAAATGCATTTGATGGAGATTACACAGACTGTCACTGGGTATGTAAGACTTCTGCCTGATAGGAAATAAAGTGCAAAAAAGCAAATACTATATTTTAAAAAATATTTCAAATCATTCAATTTATTTATTTATTTTTTTTTTTTTTTTTTTTTGAGACGGAGTCTCACTCTGTCGCCCAGGCTGGTATGCAGTGGCACAATCTCGGCTCACCGCAAGCTCTGCCTCCCAGGTTCAAGCGATTCTCCTGCCTCAGCCTCCTGAGTAACCGGGATTATAGGCATGTGCCACCATGCCCGGGTTATTTTTATATTTTTAGTAGAGATAGGGTTTCACCATGTTGGCCAGGCTGGTCTCGAACTCCTGACCTCAAGTGATCCACCCACCTCGGCCTCCCTAAGTGCTGAGATTACAGGTGTGAGCCACTGTGCCCAGCCAAGTCATTCAATTTCTACAAATTTACAATTACTACCTTGGGAGAGCACCTAATCCGGCAAACATCTATTCTTTAGAAATTGATCACTGTGTGTGTTTAACATGTCAGGGTTTTCGTTGTTATTGTTCAACTCTCTTTTTCTTTTTTTTTTTTTTTTGTTTTCGTATTTATTGTTCTCTTTTTTAAAAAAGATGAAGTGAAATATTTTACTAGAAAACAAACACACACACACACACACACACACACGGAAACAAACCAAAAGTTTGAGTTCCTAAGCCTGGTTGTTCTACTTGAGATTCATATAACCTCTATACATTTTAATTTCCTAATCTGTGAAATGCTTATAATATTACCAGCCCTTCCTCATCACAGGGTTACTCCATTATATGAAATAATGTATACAAAAACACTTAGAAAAATATGTCACTATGCAAATATTTGGTAGAAATTATTATTTTCTAGTATTTAAGCTACTAATTTTATTTCCTGTTCTGGCCATCAAAGGTTGCCCTGAAGAAACTTAGAAAAAAAACCTTTTGCATTTGCTTATGCAGTTGCACTCTGCCACTTCCTTAGGGGAATATGTTTATCTTTGTCCAGCCTCTGGCAAGCACATCACTCCACCCTGTGTAGCCAGAGGGAAAGAATAGTGCTGAATAAAAAATAAGGGTCAATCATCCAATTGACATTCACTTCTTCTGGTTCAATCATCTATTTGTCATGATGAGAAGCCACAAAACTGTACTTGCATATGAAGTACAAGAAGAAAATACAGAGAAATAAATTAAAAAGAAAAACCTGAGCAATCATCACCTATTTTTTCCTTTGAGGGAATATTTCTCAGTCCATGTTTCAAGAATAAGGTATTTTTATTAAGAATGTTTTTTGTCATTGCCCCAATATGTAACCTTTTAATGATGTAACCTGCATCTCTATAAATTATATAGCACGTGTCAGAATCAAATGCTCTTAAAATATTATCAAAAGTTGCTAAATATATTTTGCACATTCCTTCCTAAATCTATGTTACATGATAATTGATACACAGCCCACAAAACATCTAAAAATACTTTTACAGCTAAATAAATGCCTGTAATTTCTTTCTACTCTATGGTAAATGTGGACCACAGAAACCAATGTAGAAATTCATAAGTATAATTCAGGAAGTAAAGGGAAGGAAAAATAAGACAGCGGTCTCCACAACTCAACATTTACTTCATCTCTATTTACTAATTCACACATAGTTCAAAGAATTAGAACCCATTAGAATTATGCCCTTTTATCCCCAATGATATGGAAGGGTTTTTTGGTTTTTTTTTTATTTTCTGAGTCAGGAGATTGCTTTCCATTTGAATTTAACGAATATGAAGAAACGGCAAACAACTTGGCTTCACACTGTTACTTACCCCTCCCAAAACCATTTTTCCTTTCTCCTTCCCAACAGAGTGATGATTTCCTTAGGTATCTATGCCTTTTCCCCACAATTCAGGGGAGGATATTCCGACCTCTTGCCCTCTCTAAGTGTTATCTCTCCATTGAGCAAACAAAACGTTGTGTAAGTCTTCAAACTGCTTTTGGGCCAGTGTAGGAAATGACCTAAGTCATGCCAATCTGACTGAAAGGAACAATCTAATTTCATACTTGAGGTATGGGATCTCACTCTCTCCTGTTGGATGTGAATATGATCTCACTAAGACATGGAAAATAAAAAAATCAAACTCGTAGAAGTTGAGAATAGAATGAATGATAGGCATCAGTGGCCGGGGGATGTGGGTGGATAGGGAAAGGGAAGATATTAATCAAAGGGTACAAAGTTTTAGCTATACAGGAGGAATAAGCCTTAGTAATCTATTGCATGGAATGGTGACATACTTAATAATAATGACTATATACCTCAACATTGCCTAAGCATTAGATTTGAAATGTCCTCACCAGAAAAGTTTGATAAATATGTGAGGTGATGGATATGTTATTAGCTTAATTTAATCATTCTAGAATGTAAGCATATATCAAAACATCACCTTATACATCATAAATGTATGTAATTATTATTTGTCAATTAAAAAGAAAATACAATTTTTCCAAAAAGAAAGAAAAATATGAGAAATAAAAAGAAATCATATAGTCCCAATGGCCCTAATGATAACTGCAAGGGGAAGCAGGCATAGGATGAAGCTGATGCTGAATACGGCAGAGCATAGAGGCAGAAAGAACCTGGGGCTTTAAAGACTTAGCCCCAGCTGTTGTATGACAAGAAGACTGCCTTACTCCTGGCAATTATGTGAAGTGACTTTCATAATTGTTTCATCAATTTAGATTGTGTTGTTATTGTTACTTGCAGCCAACACCATCCTAACTTATCAATCATGTTCCTTACAATTTTTCTTTTATTTTCTACAGTTTAATAATGAGTAGGCCTGTTCGGTAGATATAAGTAAGCTCACAGACATAGGTTTGCTTTATTGTATTGTATACAAATGATTAGTCCATCAATGTGTCCAAGTTGCTGTTACTAAGTGGATGTCAGCAATGAGAAAGCTTCATGCATTTCAGGGTATCAGTTTTAGTACTTCTTTCATGAAGAAGAGAAAACCTGGACAGTTTAAGAGTGTACATGCTGTTTCATCTTCCTGGAAGAATCTTTGCACTCTTCGCCTCTACCTGATCTGGCTGACTCCTATTCACCCTTCATGGTTAAATTTCACTGTCCCTTCTCCTGAGAAGCCCTTTTTGATCTATGAAGACGACTAGACTAGATGCCCTTCCTGTGTGTTCCCACAGCACTTTCATTTTATCTCAATCTGAGCTCGTTAGCATATGGTAATTACTTTTCTGTTTGATTCCCCACTAGCCTATAAGTTCCCTTGGGGCTGGGATGGTTTCTATTTCGCTGTTATATCTATAGTCTTTAGCATAATACCTGTTTCTCATAGGTTCTCAATAAATATTTACAGAGTGAACACAGGCCCAAAATGCTTTGAATAGAGTAAGACAGAATTGCAGCAAAAAATAGCCATTACTTTTAGAAAATTTAATAGAAAATTAATTCTAATTTATTCATTAGATGATATTTTGGAAAAAGCAAAATTTCCAAAAAAAGACTTTATTTGGCATAAACTTACATACTTCAAATATTTTAATAAAGGTCCTATGCAAGAAAAAGATATGCTAGAAAAGATGCTGCAAGATTTTTTAAATCCAGTAAACTATGAAAGAAAAAATAATTCAGGCTTATAGCAGAGAAATTACCCTTTGTCACACTCTGAGTATTATCACCAGTTTATAATGAGAAATAACTGAAGATCGAGATCAGAACTCATTCTGTGTCCTTTATAGTTGTTCCAAAATATGCTTCAGTCATTCTGAACATTTTCGTGGTGTTCATGAATCCCCAGATTTTAGAATCCTTTCGAGTCGTTTCATATGGGACAATCATGCTTGACGACTTTACAGTCAAGATTCTGTTGCCAGGAAATGACCATTTCTATTATGTGTGTGACTTTAATAATTATCTTTTTACATTTCCATCACAAGTAGCATTATTCTGGATGCATACCAATATAGAAGCCAATTACTACTTAAACTGAAAGCAGGGACTACCAAAATTATTTTATTACACCATAATGTTTGGTATCAGGTAATAAGTACAAAAACTCAGGCATCACTAGAACTTGTAAATCTCCTCAAAACATGTTTCTAATATAAGACTTTGTTAAAAATAGAACTTGCTTTATACCATTAGAAAATGTCAAAATTTTAATAATATAAATTGTAACAGAAGGCTTTCAATTTGCCTAATTAGAGCAAAGAAAGTTTTGTTTTGTTTTTAAAGTAATATTTTTATTCATGAACACCAACACCCCAAAGAGGCCATAAAGGGTGTGAAGAGCAGATTTTAAGAGAATAAAGCAGAGTCATATTACATCTCCGGAGTATTTACATTTTATTTTTATTTGATGCCTATTTTCATGTATTTCTAGTTTTCTGGTGATAAGAAGATTTTTCCAATTTTATTTCTGTTGAAAGATAATGATTTCAGTTGTATACCTCAAGATGACACCCACAGAAGTTTTTAAAGCCCAGTAAAGGTACTCTTAGAAAGGAGTCCCCATGTATAATTTATTTAAAGCAAACAAGCAACCCAACCAAGTTAATTGAATTTCTTTTGCAACTTTACATTCCTATCTATAAAGTTTTATTGGAAATCTCTTGTGATCATGACTCTGCTCCTTGGGTAGAGGGTTGAGGAAGTGACAGTCAAAGATTTTCATCTTGCATCCTAGCATCTAGGGCCTTAGCTTATGCCAATAGAAAGAAAGAGCAAGAGAGATCTAAGAAGGAGAGATGACAGAGTTAATGATCAGGGGTAGCCTAGTAAAGTCCTAGACCTCCGATCCTCTCATAACTATCATGAAAAGTCTTGGTTCACCTTTATTGGCCATGTACCCACTGAAATCTGAGCTCACTTAATTGTCACAGTCTATTCTGTTATTGTGTGGTTGGTTGATTGACTAACTGGTTGATTTTGATTGATGGTAACAGAGTAGTTCCCTTATTCTTTATGCCATTATATGGGCTACCATGCTGCCAGTTTGTTGCTTTACCAGTATTTACTCTGAAATAGTATTTTTCTATGCCACCTTAATGCTTCCTCCCATATAGATTATATTTGCCCTGCAGTCTCTTGCTCTAGATTTCTGTCTCTCCTTTATTCTCCATAAGTAAGTCACATTAGAAGAAAAGAACAAAATTGCTAAGCATATTAAATATGAAATGATATATCCTACAGTTATATGTAACCTATTTTAGAAGGGAGGTATGGATAGGAAAGAAATCCAAAGGCAGCCACTAGATTGTACCTACATAACAGAATAAAAAGAAGAGACTTGGGAGGCTGAGGCAGGAGAATGGCATGAATTCGGGAGGCGGAGCTTGCAGTGAGCCAAGATTGCGCCACTGCACTCCAGCCTGGGTGACAGAGTGAGAATCAGTCTCAGAAAAAAAAAAAACTTAAGATTCTCAAGTCTTATCTAGTCTTGAGACTGGATTATCAAGTCTTATCTAGTCTTGAGACTGGATTATCAACTCTTATCTAGTCTTGAGAAAAAGACTAGATAAAGTTCCAGGAAAGATGGCATTTGGGGCCTAAATGTCCATGAAACTATATTTCATGGTGCACCACATAGATCAAAAAGTTCATGTAAGGGGAAAAAATGGAAAGATTAGAAACGTGACCTCTGAAATGGAGAAAGGTAAAAGCTGCTTACAATCCAGATATTAAATGGGAGGAAAGTAACATTAAGAAGCAGGAAATGGAAGTAGATGGTAATTGGGACCAAAAGAGAAAAATTTATCTTAGAAAAGAAAAATGTCATCATCAAATGTGGAAAGAACAATAAAGGAAAAAATTAAGTAGATTGGAAGTGCAAATTATAAGAATAATTGAATGGGACTTTGAATATTTAGATACACATACATATATGAAATGTCTGTTTAACAAACTGAACACAGAACAATGGAGAAGAGGTTCACTTCAGAGCCCCTTTACCGAGTGGAAGTGAGTCTTAGGTTCACACCTCCATGTGCTTGCTAAGACATCAATGTCAAAACCTAATATTGATATTAAATAAGTCACTAAATCTTTGCGAAATTCTGTAATATGTAACTAGAAATAATGCTCTAAAGATGTGTGGGTAATGTGAATACTCATAATAGCATGCTGTGAGTACTACCATAAGCACTTTTTCCTTCTTCGATATTTCAATATCCAGCAGTGTATAATTATGTAATGTCAACCTGTTATGTTTGAAAACAATACCCCCACAGGGGTTGGCTTATATCACAAGATCTTTGAATATGAATATGGTTATAAGAATTCCCCTTTTGATTATACCTATGTTGAAATAGTTTGTTGCTATAGGTTGTGGTAGTAATACTTCAAATGTTATAGCCCTTTCATCCAAGGATTTGGGGAGATGTTGCTAAAAATAGGAGAGCTAAAATTCAGTAACTAGAAAGCCTAATGTTGTTCTTTCTGTACTTATTGTGAAACATTTTAAAGGTAAGGATTTGAGGGGTTTTTTTATTATTTCTCAAATTCTTCTTCGCTATCATGGAGAAAAATTATGCTAATATAAATGTAGAGGCAATTACAAGATGCATACAATTCCATAATGAACCAGGTTATATATAATTGAAGAAAAATTTATATCTAGAGCAAAGAAAAGAAAGCAAAGATTCCTCCGAACTCTAATGAAAACATGTTATATTTTAAAACATGACACGAATGAGCTTTTTGAGTTGCCTTCTCAGAATATAACTGGACTCATGTTTGCAAAACAGCAGGCTATGTATGGAGTACTAGGGTAACTCACGTCTTAGAAGTGAATCTACAACTAATTCACAAACATAACCCGCTAAGCTCATCTATGACGCACAAAGGCAGCCTATCTGCAATACAAAGGGCAGACCAAGGAGGAGGAAGCCTTTAAAACCAGCAGAGGAAGAATATGATCTAATCCATGAAGTACGAAAACTGTTGTACAAATGTTGGTCAATATATTGATTTGTAATGAAAATTATAACTCTAGAGTAGTACAGCTCTTATTTCAAGAAAGAAAATATTTATCATATTTCATGTCAACTTCTGTGCATCTCAGTTTGAAATTGGTAATATGCTTTTGTCTCTCCTCAGTTGTCAACCAAAAACGTCACATGTAATTCCATATATTGATGGCTTTTAGTTGTGTTTTGTTTTGGTTTAATAATACATTTGAGTGGTAGAAAACTCAGAGTACCTCAGAATTCAAAACCTCAATTTTGAATTTATGTTTCCAATTCCATTACTTAGCTCTCTAAGTAGCTCTCAAAATAGCTCTCTAAATACTCCATAAGTATTTAGAGAGACCCAAATGTGGCCCAAGCATTGGAGTAAGGGTTGGGGCAAGAGCCATGAGTTGGACAGGTGCAGTCCTGGCCTTCATGGACCTGACAGTGGGGAGATGAAGACAGACTCCAAGAAAACAAGTGCTGTGAGTTTCATGAAAAGAGGTGCTGGAGCCATGAAGGCATTGCATGGGGTAGCTGGGGAAAGGGCAAGGTAAAATAAACCCTGAGGGATGAGGAGGAGGTAAGGATCAGCTAGGCAAAGAGGGGAGACTGAGAGAGAGATTAGCATACTTAAGGGTCCTGAACCAAGAAATAACATGTAATTCAAGCTAGGCCAGGAGAGCTTCTACTAAGGGAGGAGACCACCCCTCATATTGTCTTATGCCCAATTTCTGCCTCCAAAGAAAGAAGTAAAAACTAAAAGCAGAAATGAAATCCACCAGCAGACAGCCTGGCGCCACGCCCTGGGCCTGGTATTTAAAGATCTAAAGATCGTCCCCTGACCTAATTGGTTATGTTATCTATAGATCACAGACATTGTGTAGAAAAGCACTGTGAAAATCCCTGCCCTGTTCCGTTCTGTTCTAATTACTGGTGCATGCAGTCCCCAGTCACTTACCCCTTGCTTGCTCAATCGATCACAACCCTCTCACGCAGACCCCCTTAGAGTTGTGAGCCCTTAAAAGGGACAGGAATTGCTCACTCAGGTAGCTCAGTTGTTGGAGACATGAGTCTTGCTGAAGCTCCAGGCCGAATAAAGCCCTTCCTTCTTTAACTCGGTGTCTGAGGGGTTTTGTCTGCAGCTTGTCCTGCTACACTACTACCCGGTCAGCACTGAGGGCAGTAGCTATGTCCATTGCTTGGGCTCATTGACACATCATCATAGTGCCTAGCACACAGTAGTCACCCAATAAATATTTGTTGGATGAATGTGGCTGAAGGATAGATAACTAGAAGAGTAGAACAAAATGATTCTACAGAGGTAAGCAAGGAACCAAACATGCAAAGCCTAATAGGCATGTTAAGATGTTGAAGTTTATCTTAAAAACAATGGGAAATTCTGGAAGGTTCTTTGTAGGGCATTAGCATATACAGAAAGACTGTTTTTTCTATTATTGTATTTCATCAAATCTAAGATGCCATTGATTATAAAATGTACCATTATTTTATGTGTGATTAATTTAAAGCAAACACTGTTAATTAAACCAGGATGCAAAATAAATTGTAAGACATATTCCAATTTTAGAAAAGTTAAAGTGGAAAACAAAAAATGCATGTTAAAGTTGACAAAATGTAATATATGTGGAAAGAAAATGAATTAAAAGTGAGAAAACATGGGTACAAAGTGACTAGTTAGGAGGGTATTGTTATGGCTGCCTCAGTTGCTCAATCTGTTGCAGAAGTTCAATACTGGACCAAAGTAGAGACACCTGGAATGGAGAAAAATGGACAGAAATGGGAGATATTCAGAATGTAGAACTGCCAGAATTTGCAACTGGTGTGTATTAGAGTGAAAAAGTCAGAGGTATTGGGTGGATGCTGGTATTGTTTATGGAGTTGGAAACATTAGTGTGGAAGCTCTGAAGAGAGATCTGACTAGAGATATAAATTTGTGATTTCTCAGCATACAGATGGTGAATGAGGTCATGAAAGCAAAAGAGATTTATTTCTCCCCTAGGGCAGCAGTTTTTTAACTGGGGCAATGACTCCAGCTGCATTGCAGAAGTCGCATTGGAGATGGCAATGATGGGAGACAATTAAACAAATCAAAAGGTTCTTGAAGTAGTACAAGAGAGGAAAATGAGTGCCTGACAAAGGCATCAGAAGCAGGAATAGAAAGAGGGTTCAGACTCCAGAGATATTGTAGAGGTGAAAGCTCAGGACTTAGTGACTAAGTTGGCTGTGGAGTCTGTGGGACCAAAATAATTTATAGGTTCCTGGGTAGATCATGCTGCCATTAACTATAATAGAGGTGAAAAAAAGAAGCAGCAGCAAAAATAAAAGATTTGCAGGCAGGATAGTGAGCTCTGTTTTAGGCTTTTTAATCGCTATCACCTATGGTGCATGCAGACGAAGATGTCCACTGGACAGGTAGAGCACTGACAGAGAAAAACAAACAAACTCTCTACCATGCTACAGCAGAAGCTTGTTCATTCTATAGGCAGCAGGAGAGAAGTTCTGCCCTCACTTGTCTTGTTCAAGGAGAAGAGGTAGCATCTTATTGCCTGACAGCTCAGGCTCTACAGTTAGAAGGACTCGAATTTTAGTCTTGATTCTACTGGTTACTGGCTGGAAGATTGTGGGGTAGACACTTAACATCTTTGAGCTTTGGTTTCTTTATCAGTAAATTGAGAAAAAAATATTTAGCTACTGAAGTTAATTTACAAATTAAAGAAAATATAAAAATTCCCAGAACAGTGCTGGGCATGTGAAAAGGACTTGATAAATGATAGCTATTTTTATTACCTGTTTTGGTGTGCCCATCAACTCTGGGACAATTCCTTCCAGCATTTATAATTGTATTCATTTGTTTAATTCTTTCATCAACTATTTATTGAATCCTGCTGTATGGGAGGGACTGGTGACCATTTGCTTGCACCATACCTCTCCATGTCTTATTCAATCATCTGAGTGACTAGCTGCTATTTTAGTGTTTGATGTCTCACCCAGCAGGCTAGGCTAAAATATCAAGTCCTCGCACATGCCAGCAGAGGGTCAGATGAGTTTTTTTCCTCACAGACCAAATGAAAGGCCATGAGGAAGACATACAAGCAAGGGAAAGCAAACCCAAGCTTGAGCCAAGAACTTATATTTCTGCAGAACTTATGTATTTAAAAGAGAAAAGCAATTTCTACATCAGAAAGTGAGAATTCCTCCCAATGATTTAAATCTCTTTTTCTGCAACACTTAGGGAAAAATTATATCATTAATTTGTGATCCTCTTTTTCTAACATTTGTAATTTTAATCATATTTGTACCTTTCTTCCTTCGGGGATTTATTCCCGTTTGCTCCTCTTTTGTTATCCTTAAAAGGCTTTGAAACAGAGTGATTTTAAAGCTATTCTTGCTTACGTGCTTATTTTTCTCCACTTGGCTTTAACACCAATTTTTAAATTCTTACCCAGAGTTACCTGTTGGAAACTGCCCTTATTGTAGAAGAGGTCACCATGATTTATAATACATCTATATATGTATTCTTTTGTGGTTTCTAGATTTCCCTTTGCTAACTTTCTTAGAAAATTCCTCAATATGCCTCTTTCTGCTAATTGATCACTTAATTACCTAGGATTTCACTACTCTACTTTGAAATGGCTTCTTTTTATTTAGTTAGTTTTTATCTTCTTCTGGTCTGTGTATACCAATAAGATATCAGAGAGAATATCCTAAATGTCACTCTTCTATTTTATAAGACTCCCGACAGACAGCCACCTGTTATCTCTCCACTCATGGCTGACCATGAGCAGACATGGGGATCTTTCATCAGTTCCTTCACTAAAGAACACACACTATAAAATTAAAACAAAAACATACATTTTCTATATTCAAGGGAAAAAATTTTTTTATATTTAAGTTCTGAGATACATGTGCAGAACACGCAGGTTTGTTACATAGGTATTCATGTACCATGGTGGTTCAGTGCACCCATCAACCTGTCACCTAGGTTTTAAGTCCTGCATGCATTAGGTATGTATTCTAATGCTGTCCTTCCCCTAGCCCTCCACCCCCCAACAGGCCCCGGTGTGTGAATGTCCGCTCCCTGTGTACACGTGTTCTCGTTGTTCAACTCTCAATTATGAGTGAGAACGTGCAGTGTTTGGTTTTCTGGAGAACAATATTTTTTAAAAATATTTTTATATGATGTCAGCTTGGCATTTTTTTATTAACTGTAAGAACTTGTAATCTAGCTAGGGATACAGAACTTCATGGAACATTCAGGGATCACCACAAAAAAAAAATGAAGTGCAAGTTTATAGGAAAACTAGATAGAGCAAACTGAACACACAAATCACTCAGTAGGGATTCAGAGCAAGGGAGTGTTTCTGATCTGATAGGGTGAAAGAGTTTCTAGGGAGTAGAAATTTGAAAAATAGTGAAAAACTCTGCTGGACACTTAACAAAAGAAAATCATTTTTATTCCTTTGAAACAGACAATAATGCACAGGTTTCAGAGTACCAAGAAACCTAAAAGACCAATGAAATAATTTGACTGAGGCCTAAGTTATTCTCAATCCAAACAATATTACACATCTGATGCTTCTACATTGGTTTCAGCTCTCTGATTATCTGGATACTTGTCCTATAAATGTTTAGCAGATATAAACCACCATACCTCTTGAAAGTAGGCAAGAGGTGGGGGAGGTCAAAGAAAGGTTTTGCCTGAAGTTGATGACACTTTCAAAGGGGGAACACATGTTTCTTTAAAACTCTCATGGGGCAAAGATGTTTGAAAGTGAAGATAGCCTAACATAGCTCCATTTCCTCATGTGAAACTTTCCCATAAGCAAAGACTTCTGCATTCTTTAATAGAAATATGAAACCATATAGCCAGGCACAGTGGTGTGTGCCTGTAATCCCAGCTACTAAGGAGGCTGAAGCAAGAAGACTGCTTGAGCCCAGGAGTTCAAGATCAGCCTGGGCAACATAGTGAGACTCTCATCTCAAAAAAAAGGAAGAAATATGAAAGTACAAGCCAACACAATTTTTAGTTGGATATTTCTTACAGAAATTTTCCAAACATTATATGTTCCATTTGTTGAAAAATGTATAAATTATCTTTTGAAAAAGCTCTTACTATTGTCACACAAATCTAAATTGTTTCTCATAAGAGTAAATTATTAATTTATGGTGAGTATGTGGGGAAAATTTTTTCATGGATCTCCAGAAATAGGGTCAAAGATATGCAGAGAGGAAGCAAAAGGGAATTCTGGAACAGCCCAAAGGAAACAGAATAAGAAACTTTCTGTAAATTTTCTAACTTTAGCAAAGAATATGTCAAACCTCAAGCAAGGAACTTTATTCTCTGTAAAGTAAAAGACAGATAATCTATTGGGAAACATAATTATGACATAGAGAAAGGCCTCAACTAGGGAATAATTTCTCCAGAGTTTGGTTTTAGCAATTTCAAGTACAAGACAAAAAGCTACAATGAAAAACATATGAGTAAAATTACAATAGGTTTTCAAAAATGTATAATTTATTATACTGTGATAAGTACATAAGAATTTATACCAGTCAATCAAGAAAGTAATGGCATGTTGTAAAAATGCCTAAATTCATAAATCACTTGGTTTTGAAAATATTGAATTTTTTCATACTGTGAGTAAAACTTGGAAATTGCAGTTTAAAAAAAGTCATTCCAAAATGAGGGTTTTAATGCCAGATAGTCTGATTTTTAATTCTTACTCTGTCATTTACTATGTTACTTCAGCATTTCCCTTATCTGTAATACCTGCTGTGGAAATTTCTTGTGATGTACATAAAGCACCTAAAACTTCCTGTTAAGTATGGTGAATTGAACACACCTGTTCTCTGCTTCTTCCCCTAAAATTCTAGATTTTTTAAAAAAGAAAAGGAAAAGAAAAAAATTAAATGTAAATCCACAAGGACAACAAAAATGGGAGAGAATATAGAATACAAAAGATGACAATGATTTTAAAATCTGAAAAACAAATGGATAAAGGGTAATTGTCATAACATATCAGAGAAAGCTGAAACCTAAGTCTGCAATCTAATTGTGCCACAGAACCTGGAAAGTCTCAAAAACTGACAACAGAAGTATTCCTGAAGGATGGGGATAGAGTGGGACTTAAAACAAAATTTTAGAGAGATCTCCTTCCTTCATCTGTGCTGAAGACTGAGGTTTACTATCTGCAGAGAATGAACCAGGAGACTTCTGCATTCAGGAACAGAAGATACAACTGAATGTATGGGCAAGGTACCCAGTTGAACACAGGGGCACAAAGTGGAAGTCTACATTCTGAATAGCCTTTCTCCCAACTCCATCCACTACTTACCTCTCAAAACACTGGTAGCCAAACTTAAGCCCCTAAGGCATAAGATTGGAAGATTCTTCTCTTAATAGACTGAATAAACTGGCTAAAGGGAAAAGACATAGAAACTGAAATGAGGGAAAAAACTGTTAGCAAATTAAGGGATCCATCCAGGAGGTGCTGTGTCAAAATGTCAGGAATTGCAGAAAAAGAAAACAAAAAAATAAAAATAAACAATTGAGAGACACAAATCATTAAAAAACTAATACAAGAAAAATTTTCAAATCCCAAAAGTCACAGGTTTCCAAACTGAAAAGTTCTGTTGAATTTCTCATCTAATAAGTGAGAAAGGGCCTACACCAAAATACACTACCATGAAAAGTTAGTATGCTGTCTATAAATATAAAGAAAAAATATTAAAACTTTCCAGAGAAAGGAGAAATAAAAACATCATATATGAAGTAACAATTAAGGTCCACTTCCATCATGTATCTTTCCACCTAAGCCTGCCACCTAAAGCAATTAGAAAAGCTGGGTGAAAACAGCTATTTTAAGGCATTGGAAATATCTGAGGCAGCCAGGACTTGGAGAGCCAGGATCGCAGAGAAAAGGAAAATACATTGAAAATACATTGGTCCGAGCCTCATATTCACCAGTGGTTTTTCTCCTCAGGGCATTTGCTGATTTTCACATCTTCTAACTGCCTACCAGAGGAAAAAAAATTCTTTCTGAAAAAGATAAAATCATCCAGAGTTTCTATAATTTTTAACTTACAATGTCCAGCATTAAGTAAAAAATTATCAGACATGCCAGGATGACAAAAAATGACTAAAAACAAAAAAATAAAAAATATAATCCCACCCCCCATGGATAGATAGTCCAGATCTTAGAGGTATCAATTCACATTTTAAATAGCTATAATAATATATTCAAGGGAAAAAAATGACAAGATGAAGAATTTTATCAGAACTGAAATCTATATTTAAAAGGCATCAAATGAAAATTCCAGAACTGAAAAATAAAATAACTGAGATTAAGAAATCAATAGATGTGTGTAACAATAGACTAGACTAGCAAGAGAGAAAGGATAATAAATTGGAAAACAGCTCTTTAGAAACAAATAATTCAAACTAAAACATAAGCAGAATAAAAGAACTTAAAAGCCAGAAAAAGCATGAGCATGAAATGGAGCACAGTAGAAAGGTCCAACAGGAATTAAGTGGAAATCTCAGATGACAGCTGTGTGGTGAGCATAAAGAGCAACCAGTCTGGATTAGAGCAGGAGACAGAGGGCTCTAGAAGGGATTTCTACACTGTCAGGATTCCAATTCTATTCAAGAATTGGGATGGATTAATGATACCTATGTAGAAAAGTAAAAAGCAAAAAAAGAGGAAATTTTTAATTTTAGAGAAAGCATACTATAACCAGAAATGAAATACAGTGTATGGTTCATTATTTATACGTAATAGTTATATAGTCATAACAATGTAAATAAACATTGATTTAAATAAAAATGATTATATAATTTTTGGAAGCATGAGTAAGGGGCTAAATATCTATATGTTAAAGAGATACAAATATAAGAGAACTAAACCATATCTTCTACAGCAGGACATACAAGAAACAATATTTAAAACTGTCAAATGAAGAAATAGCAATATAAGCTTCTATTTAGGTGTATGAAAGCAAACATTAAAATAAGCAGCTACAAATAATTTTAAATAGTAGCCATTGGAGAAAATAAGAGAAGAGAGAAATAAAACAAGGGCTAGCTTTTTATGAGTCTTGAAGCATTATTTGATTTGTTAAGCATGTGTAAGTATAAATTTTGTAAGAAAAATTTACCTTAAGAATAAAAGGTAAAGAAAGTCTCTAAGAAAATGACTGATACACAGTAGGTTTTCTATAAATGCATCTTATATAAATTATATGATTTCAAGGAATGTGGTGAAAGGTAGGTGATTGATATTTGTTGGCCCAGGATCTTTCCGAAGGAAGAAAGCATTGCCTTGTATATTCCCTGAGTGTGTCTTCCGCCTCCATTTGCTGGAGTCTCTCTGACAATTATTCAGCAGAGCAGTGCCTTCATAGTACAGAGTGGGCAGCTGCATGCATAAGGCTTGTGATGAATAATATTGAGTGTCAACTTGATTGGATTGAAGGATGCAAAGTATTGTTCCTTGGTGTGTCTGTAAGGGTGTTGCCAAAGGAGATTAACATTTGAGTCAGTGGACTCGGAGAGACAGACCCATCCTCAACCTAGGGGGGCACCATCTAATCAGCTGCCAGGGCAGTTAGAATAAAGCAGGCAGAAGAAAATGGAAGAGAAGACTTGCTGAGTCTTCCAGCCTTCATCTTTCTCCTGTGCTGGATGCTTCTTGCCTTCAAACATTAGACTCCAAGTTCTTCAGCTTTTGGACTCTTGGACTTACACCAGTGGTTTGCCAGGGGCTCTTGGGCCATTGGCCACAGACCAAAGGCTGCACTGTCGGCTTCCCTATTTTTGAGGTTTGGGACTTGGACTGATCCACCACTGGCTTCCTTGCTCCTCAACTTGCAGACAGCCTATCGTAGGACTTCACCTTATGATCATGTGAATCAATTCTCCTTAATAAACTCCCTTTCATATATACATATATCCTATTAGTTCTGTCCCTCTAGAAAACCCTGATACAAGACTGTTTGACAACTCTGAAATATTACTTGCCTATAAGTAATATCCCCCCAGTGACCTGCCATAGGACTTATGAGCTTCTTCCAAGCTCATACTCTGGCTACTGGTCAAATAATGAGGTCTATTGGCTTTATTTAGCTGATAACTAAATCGTAGAGAAATCTCAATCCTTTGCTGATTATGCTGAGTGATCCAGGATTATGGGGGCAGGCAAGAAACCCTCCGTAGAAAAAGCTGAAATCATTTATCAAAAAAAAAAAAAAAAAATCCTAGCTGAGCACAGTGTCTCACACCTATAATCCCAACATTTTGGGAGACCAAGGCAGAAGGATTACTTAAGCCCAGGGGTTTGAGACCCGCCTGGGCAACATGGTGAAATCCCATCTCTACAAAAAATAAACAAATTAGCCAGACATGGTGGCATGCACCTGTAGTCCCAGCTACTCAGAGGACTGTAGTGGGAGAATCACCTGAGCTCAAGAGGTCAAGGCTGCAGTGAGCCATGTTCATACCACTGCACTCCCGCTTGGGCAACAGAGTAAGACCCTGTCTCAAGAAAAAAATCCCATAACACTCATATTTCACCTCCAAGTAACAATGAAGTTTCCCTAGGTGATCATATATCTTAGTAATGACATTTGTAGTGTGATTATGTATAGTTTTAAATAGCATGGCAAATCGAATATGTACCTGAAGAAACAAAGCTAGTATATAATAGTGGTTGGGTGTTTGTTCTTAGGATGGATGGATAGATGGGTGAATTTATATTAGAATGAATAATGACTCAGATGACAAAATATAATATAATATAGCAGATAACAACTTAATCATAAACATATAGGGTCTGAAAACATGATAGTGAGGTAATATTTCATGTACTTCTTCCTCCACAATTTTGGGTCTTGTCAGGTCCAAATAGATATTACAGTTGGAAGGGATATTAGGAAATCATTCAGTTCTCTTTATTTTAACAGATGAGGAAAAAAACTGTTGCTGAACCAAACTTGGATCCACTCACCTGGCACAATAAAGCCAAATACCAACACCAAGGTTTGCAGGAAGAGAAAGAAGGACATTTATTGCAGGGCACCAAGTAAGAAGAACAGGTAGCTAACACTTAAGACCCAACCTCCCCAGTGGCTTACAAGCGTTTTTAAAGACAGGGGTACATTTCAGGAAAACAGAAGTAATAGGCAAACTCATAAATCAATACGTGGAGGTTATACATTGACTTGTTCTGCAAAGGGAGGATATCTTGAAGCAGGGGCTAACAGGTCCCAGGTGGATTTAGAGATTCTCTGATTTGCAACTGGCTAAGGGAACAAGCCTTTGTCTAAAACCTTGGGGTCAGCAGAAAGGTATGTTAAGGCTTGGTGTTAACATTTATTTGTTAAGATAAGGAAAACTATTAATCATCAAGTGGTGCTATGCCAGAGTCAAGTCATGAGAGCAAGTCACAACAGACTGGGTCAGTGTGACGAGTCTAGCAAGATTGGTCGCCTGCAGGTGTGACTGTCTCCAGGCTCCTTGGGAAGAAATTTAAAACAGCCTGAGTTCAGTCTTCAGTTTCTTTTTGCCTGAGGTCTACCTGACAGTGGTCAGCATTCTCCATCGATGGGGATCTTGGTTTCTGAAAAACAAATCAAGAAAGTGTGTTAATATGTTATCTTTTAGTTTCTATGGGGAACCAAACACCTTATGGCCCTGACTTGGTTGGATGACTATTGTTTAAGTTACTATTATCTTCTTACTTATTGGGTTATTCATTTACTCCTCAGGGCTAGCTAGATGCCTGGAATTTCCCTTGAAGGGACTCAGAATTTTTCCTTTATTTCTACGCTTGGGTGGTTGCAGCAGGCCCCTAAGATTGGTCCCTTTTCCATCTCGAAAGCTTTAAGAAGTCAAGGTAGGGGCAAATTCTGGGAAGAAAATGGTGGCAGTTGGGTAGTATTGAATTTTCCCAAAGTTCAACATACAAACAAAAGACAATTATGATAGTAAAGCAAAAACACCCACAGATCAATGTCTAAAACAAAAGAGGCATCCCATTGAGCCCCCAGATCCAGATGCAGAGAAAATGTCAACAGTTACAAGGCATGTGTGGGGTCAGCATTTGTGTGAAAAGAGGTGGAGGAGTGCCTGACAGACATGAGGACAGCAAAACCTTCAAAGCATCAGAAAGTGTCACCAGCTAAAACAAGGCTTCTTCCTAATAAAAATAAAAATGCTGTTTTAGAGGTATATGTTGACTTACTTGACATCAAAAAAGATTGATGAGATATTCTTGTGCCTAATCTGAAGATTAGGCCACAGAAAATTTAAATATTATTAAGTAACCAGGTAATAACTGTCTATTAGTTGTCAGTATTTTAAAATTTGATAAGAAAATAAATAGCAACCCAAAAGACATTGCTTGTGTGTATGTAACATTATCTGTATCAATTTATCAATATTTTAATATAATCTTCTTTTAAACAATTAGTTTCATACTCTTTCTTGGCAGTAAAGCAAATGATTCTAGAAAATCACTATATTTTAACTTTGAAATTGTTTGGAACTATAAAACTGACCTTTCAAAATACTAATCTTTCGGCTAAATGCTAAAGTATCCTTTTAGCATCAGGAACACTTTCTGTCATCTTGGGGATATTGAAACTGCTGTTTTCCCCTCAAAATGTATGAGAAGACCCTCTAGTATACATTGATATGGTGCCCCAAGGATAACTCTATTTATAATGTGAAGTATCTCAGGAACAAAATCTGTTTTCAGGCCGTAATGCTCCAAGGCAGAACAGTGTGGTCTGTCCCAGGTGAGTTTCTTAGGTGGCCCCCTACAATGCAAATTGAGCTGCCCTCAAGGCACTCTATAAATTTATTAGAAAAATCTAAAATAAAAAAACACAAAATGACAAAAAAAAGTTTGCCTTACTAAAATTAAAACTATTCACCTCACTCAATGTAACTTTAAAATAGAGTAGAGCAACAGTTACCGTAAGAAACAATGGAAAGCACTCTAGCACTACACAAAACACCTTGTTAAATATAACTGACTAAATTCAACATTCTGATTCAAGGAGCTGACATGGTTACAGTGCCCTATGTGCTTTACAATTATTACATCGCTTTGTGATTGGACAATATGCATTAAAAATTTTTGTAGTTAATTGTGTCCTAACTTGTTTTAATAACCTTCTTATCAATTACTTTCCTGTCTCCAGACACATTGCTTGGCAATAATGCTGAGTAAATAGTTAAATAAAAACCTTAAACTATCTTTTAAATTCTAGTTATTTAACACATCAGTTCTGACCATGATAGAGTAACAGGGAGACATCCTCCTTAAACAATGAGAAACTTTATAAAAATATTGGAAAGAATCATTTGCCCTAGCTTACTACCTGAAGATAGTTTCCAGTCCTCAGAAAAAAGAAGCCCTGTGGTCTCATGAGTAGAAGAGACAGAGGTTGAAATTTAGGGAGGCTGAGACAGCTAGAATTTGTGATCAAAATACCAGAGAGGAGAGAGCTACAAAGAAATTTCCAAAGATCTGTGGAGGGTTCTCCTCAAATCTTTGGCTGACTGCTGATCTGTACATGCAAGAGAAGAAAGTAACTCTGGCCACATAAGGAAGCCGCAGAAACCATTAGGCCAATCAATTCCCACAGTTCCTACAGGGCTGGAAATAGTCTGTGTTCCTACCAGCCGGAGTGGAAAGACCACATAATTCACAAAGCATTAGGAAGGGTCTTCAAGGGCGTACTGCTTAGTAGTGAGGCCAAATTAGCCCTAGACTAAACCCTGCTCTGGATCAACCTAACAACATTTTAAAGCAAGCTTCAAAAGAATCTAACTGATTCCTAGGAACTTAACTGCATTCCAGGACAATATTCAACAGTATTTAAAGGAATACCAAAACTTCCAGCACCCAAAACCAAAATCACAATGTCCAGTATCCAATCAATAATTAGCAGACACAAGAAGCTGCATGCACAACAGAGATGATGGAATTAGTGACCATGAATGTAAAGAGGGGACAAATGGAAGAAATTTTTTTAAATGAAACTTTTTTGACATGAAAAATTTAGTAGCTGAGATTTAAAATATGCCAGATATGTCTTAGCAGCAGATTGGGAACTGCAGAGGAAAAAAAGAAAAATCAATGAATTTGAAGAAACAATAAAAACTATCCAAAGGAAGCACAGAGGCAAAAACAAAGACAGAAAAAAGTATCAGTGACCTCTGGGACACTGTCAAGTTGTCTAATACATGAAGGAAAACTGAGAGAAGGGAGGAGAGAAAAAATATTTGAAGAATTGATGGCTAAAAATCTTCCAAATTCAATAAATTCTTGTTACTTTTTAAATTTATAATATCTTGGAGAACAGTCCACTTTCCAATGATTGATGAGCCTAAGACTTGGCTTGGGCAGGGAAAAAGCCAAAAATTCAAAGCTGTTACTGAGAAATTCCATGTGACATCTTAACTATTTTACTAAAAAAAGAAAAGAAATAACAGCCCTAAGAAGTGAATTAAGGCTGAAATGTCATGTGGTATTTTAACCTTAATTCTGAATTTCCTTATTCTAATCAATCTAAATCAGGCCCTAATGATATTTAAATGTAGCTACTTACAATTCCCATAATAGGCAAACAAAAGGGAGGTTAAAATAATTCTATTATTTCACAATGATGAAACAGACTGAATATTTCAATTATTCTACTTATTATAGTACACATAGAACAATGTTCTGTAATCTGCTTCGATATATATAGGCTCTTTAACCACACCACAGTGGGACTAATACAGTCACTTTGGTTGAGCTGCACTCGCTGATTCAATGTTGAAATAAAGTGCTTCACAGATTAGCTTAGTCTGCAGCACGTAAAGGTCAGGATTTATTGTAATGTAAATCACAAAGCAATTTTATCTTGACAGAGATTACATACTGTTACAATATTTCTCGCTGAATCTAGTGATGCGTTTGCTTTTTCTTTGCAACTGCTGTGCAAATTGGACCGTAGCCCAGAAAAGAAAAAGAGATGGCAGGCTGCTTTGGCTTTTTAGAAACAACTTAATTCTCTTCATTTTTCAAAGTTCCATAAGAAAAAATAACTCTGAAAATACACATAAAATCATACATAAATACTTGCAAACCTTTATAAACTCTGAGCTCCAGTGCACACAGATATCTGTAAATGACCATCCCTCAAATATTTTGATGTGTTTTAGGAAAGGATATAATTGCTAATGACTCACTTCTGATCATTCATACCAAGTAGCTTGATACATTATTTAAATTACCTCCCCTTTTAAGCAAACAAAAACAATAGGAAGTGCTCATGTTTTTATTGACAGATACCACAAACAAAAATAAAATTGAGTGTAAACAAAGCAAGGTGATGATTAGAATGTCCACTGCTGTCATTGTCTCTATAACCACATATGGAGAGGTGGAATAGCAAAACCTTCCCGATTTTTCTGTTTCTTCAGAGATTGCACTTAAAGTAGAAGGGATTGGGGCCAGAAATCGAGAAGAACTTTTTGATTACCACAGAATTAAATGAACTACTCAAAGAGTTTGAGGAGTCTTTATTTCTGAAATTCTTAAGACAAGGCCAGCTCATTCTCTGTCCTGCGTCATGTTTCTCAAAGAATCATGCATGCATAAAATGTCCCCACAAAGAATTAACTGGCATATGTACAGAATTCTGCCCATTTTTGTCAATTCTTCGTATATAGTTTACATTAATAATATACAAAAATTATGGTGAGTCCGAGGACCTACCAGGAAATGTATCCGAGGCTAATCTCAAACTGAAATTATTTCTTTTCTATTTCTCTAATTTGGGCCACAATTAGTTTTGTATTTCCAACCCTGGCAAAGCACTTTTCCTTGAATGAAAGTCACAGGTTATTGTGTGGTTTATTCAAATATTAAGTAGCGTGTTCTTTCTTTCTGGCTGTGTCTTATAAAGCAGGGCTTCCCACATATCAGTCCTTCCAGGTCAAACTTTATACATCTATAATCCAATTATAGCTTGATTTGCTCAATTTTTTTTGTTTTTTGTTTTGTTTTGTTTTTGTTTTTAAAGAGACAAGGTCACCCAGACAGGAGTGCAGTGGCACAATTATAGCTGACTGCAGCCTCTGATTCCTGGGTTCAGGTAGTCCTCCTGCCTTAGCCTCCCAAGTAAGTGGGACTACAGGTGTGCACCACCACACCTGGGTTTTGTTGTTGTTTTGTTTGTTTGTTTTTATTTTTTTTTTGAGAAGACAGGGTCTTGCTGTGTTGCCTAGGCTAGTCTTAAACTCCTGGGCTAAAGCGATCATCCCGCCTCGGCCTCCAGGATTACAGGGGTGAGTCACTGTGCCTGGCCTGCTTAATTGTTTTCTTTAAATCAATTCAAAATTTTACCTAGGTGAATTTATTTTAAAACAAAAATTTTCACTTTCAAAATTATAGACTAAACATGATTGATAGATTAAAAAAATTAATGTTTGCTGTCTACCACTTTAAGTGGTTTCATGTACCACCAGTTGTCCACATTATCACATTTTGGGAAATGCAAGCTATACATCGTTTTGAAAATAGGAAGTATCTATTACAGATTCCAGAGGTATGTGGACAATAAATGATATTCATAGAATGCAAGCTTTTTAATAAATTGCATTTATTCTTACAGTGCAAACATCCCTATCCACAATACCATGTACAATTAGGCACATGCACTTCCCATCCAAAGGTTTCCTGTATATGTCAGATGAGTGTACATCCTGGTTTACCTGGGAATTTGTATTTATGGGAGGTTTAATGACAGTGTTCCTACAGCTATTACAAGACACAACTAGGACTCACATTCAGGTCTCTGCTCCATATCAAGTAATCTTTTCTAGGGAATTGGGAGAAGTAAGGGTCTTGGAAGGAAAAAGATGGGGTTTGGGAGGGAGAATTATTCTGAGAATAAGCCCATTCCCTTTCACTGTGTAGATCTGGAGAGATTAGGGCAGGCAACGGCATGTTTGCAATGTTCTACATTCCCATTTTATAAGAACCCCTTTTCCATTAAAACTATGTTATAAATACTGATTAGATTGCTGGGATTACAATCAACGGACCTTGTGTTTTAAATGGACTCTTTCGTTCTGTCCTAACAATCTAACCAGACTCTTAATTACAAATTAAGTTTTATAACTCAGTTTTCACTTTTGATGCTGAAAAGAAAAGAATGAGGTGGAGGAATAGGAGGCACCCCTGTTTGGCCTTGGAGACATGAAGAGAAGGGGAGGACACATAACAAAATAGTCAGCCTGCCTTTTCTGCATTACCCTCCTTTCCTTTTGCGCCACTGTGAGTGTTATGCCAAGCACGTCTATCCTCCCAGCTCGCATGGGGGAGGGCCAAAAGCTTTACATTACACCACTGGTTTACACCCTGAGAAACGTCTCGTGAGCTGCAAAATACACTTTGAAGCAACTTTCTAAAAGGCACATCTATATTTACCAATGTGTTCCACATAATTAAACTGTGAAATTTGTCTCCAGTTTGGCAATACCTTAGAGAGATGTTGTGAGGTTTAGAAAGAAAATGCCTGTGAAGTGCTGTAAGTTCCATAGGAGGAAAGCACTCTACATCAAAGGTGCTGTTACACTCCTTGATGCTATATTGGTGCAACAGCAAGTAAAATAGCGTAAGCCATGATGTCATAATGTTGTCATGCAACATCATCCACAGTGAGAGCAAGAAAAATCTGTTTTTAAAATGCCTCTTTCCCCCCTCCTCTTCAGCTTGTTAAAGCATATGGTATCCAAAACTAGTTCACAGTGAACTTCATTTCTGCCACTGCTGTAAATGAAGTTTCTTCTCAGGCAGATGTCAGTGCTAAAAGTTTGGTGCTCATAAATACCAAATTTACATAAAATCTATATAGCTTTTTTCAAAAGTCTTTCTTGGTTGATGTAGGCTGATTGGCCGGGATACACAGTTCACTTACTTATTCCTGTAACCATAATACATTTCTAGATTCACTAATTGGAAAAACAATGATTTTGACTGAACCACACAAATGACATTCCTCAAGGCCTCCCTGGTTGTAAATGCCATGTGTCAGATTGAAAGAAAGAGACAAATTTAGAAAGTTAACTAAGATATTCTTGGACTGTTAATTTAGGCCTATGGTTTCAAACTATAGGTTATCATTTATGCAAAATGCATCGTTTGTTGGTGGAATAAGAAATGAATCTTATAGGTATTTTACTCCCTGCAAACACCATCAAACTAACCTGTTGATAAAGCAGATCTGAGTTACTGTGCTTGCCACAGTAACAGAGGCCACCACCTTGACAAGAAGCTTTATGGTATCTCAGAAGAGGAAAGGGCAAAGATAGGGTATTTATGGGATTTGGGGGATCTGGTTTAAGGTGGGTCTCTTGCTGTGGAATGTGGGGGCTTGATTATGATGGGTCAAGATTGAGATGTTTTAGTATTAGTAGACAGAGAGAGAGGAGGGTTTTGAAAAAAGGGTTTTAATGCAGTCCTTGATTAGTAAACAGCTATTTAATGCTGCTTTAATTTTAGTAGTTTAATATATGTTTAAATGGACTTCCAGGAACTTTTTGAAATGAACGATAAAGTTATCAGCAACTTTTATCTCCCTGGGCAAAACTTTTCTGAAATAATAAAATCAAGCTTATAAAGATAGTGAAATAATAATACCACATTAATGAAGCAACATAACAGTAAAATCGAATTAATGTAAATTTTAAGCTGTGTAAGCATAGACAGCTTTGGATCTCAACACATATACTACCAGTGTTCTTCAAATTCAACTGAAAAATCTCAGCTACCGAAAGCAGCTCCTTTTCTCTGAAAAAGATTCATTTTCAGCCACTGAAACAGACAGTCTACCTCTAAGATATTCCCCCTTCTTTTTTTATTGTGATTGCTGACTACCTTTCTTAAGATCACTGTCAATTATTGGCCTAAGCATCACTACACTTTTCTACTTGATTTAGCATATTTCTATATATACAGTGTAGTTTAATGCTTTGAGGACAAACCTTGAGTTCCTTGGAAACACTGAATTGTCAGTCTCACAATAACAATTCTAATCATAACACTACTCAGCTTAAAACTTTTTAGTAAGCCTTTTTGACTTCTGGATGAAGTTTAAGTTTCTATACATGTTTCTTGGGTCATATTTCCTTCTGCTTCTCTCTTACTTCACCACATCTATGAGTGTATACATGAATGTTATACACCAGTTACACTAAACCTTGACAGTTCCAGAATGTATTTGTCTCTCTCTTCCTTCACTTGAGGGTCTTGTACATGCAGAGTTGTGTGTATCTGGAAAGCTCACCAATTACTCCTTTCTTCTTTTTTCCACTGGTTAATTCCATTAAAAATCTTCTCAGAAAAAAAAAAAAATGCTTCCCCCAGGACACCCCTTGCAAATAGGAGGAAACACTTCCCTTTTGTGCTTCCTTAATACTTTATACTTATTTCCATCAGCCCACTCCCTCTCAAATAATAAGGCACTTTTTACATTGTGTTATAATTCTCCAATTATTTGCTTACCTTATCCTATCTGTTAGTAAGCTTCTTGAAGGCAAGCACATTGTATGGGAAATAGCCCTCAAATATACATTTTGAATAGTCAGTGAGTAAATGAATAGATAGAACCTTAAGATTGTGACAAAAAAATAATAAAACTTGACAGAATCTCAAAGAAATTATCTGAGAGATCCTAAAAAGTAAGGAATTCTCAAAGTATTTGTCTAACAACAATAAAATTTAGAAGAATTAAACTTAAAATCTGCAAAAATAATATTAGTAACATTTTAAAAGTGTGAGAATGCATTCTGCTGGTGAAGCTTTGGGGAGGTAGGCACTTTCAGACATCACTGGTACAACCCTTTTGGAGAAATATTTGACAATACCTAACAAAACTAGATATGCACTTACCTATATGCACTTACCTTTTAACCTAACAATTCAACTTTTAGGAAGTTACCCTGAAGATACACTTGCCACAAAAGAGAAACATATATGCAAAAGATTATTCATTGCAAAATTATTTATAATTTCAAAATATTGAAAGCACAGTAACCAAATCAGCGTGGCACTGGTAAAGAAACAGACACATAGACTGATGGAACAGATTAGAGAACCTAGAATTAAAGCCACACACCTACAACCATCTGATCTTCAACAAAGTCAACAATAACAAACAATGGGGAAGGATTCCCTATTCAATAAAATAGTGATGGGATAACTGGCTAGCCATATGCAAAAGATTGAAACTGGAACCCTTCCTTTCACCATATACAAAAATCAACTCAAGATGGATTCAAGACTTAAATGTAAGACCTAAAACTATAAAAACTCTAGAAGAAAACCTAGAAAATACCATTCTGGTCATTGGCTGTGGCAAATAATTTATGACTAAGCCCCAAAACCAATTGCAACAAAACCAAAAATTGACAAAAGGGTCCTAATTAAACTAAAGAGCTTCTGCACAGCAAAAGAAGCTAGCAACAGAATAAACAGACAACCTACAGAATGAGAAAAAATATTTGCAAACTATACATCCAACAAAGGTCCAATATCCAAAATCTATAAGGAATTTAAACAATTCAACAAGCAAAGAACAAACAACCCCATTAAAAAATGGGCAAAGGACCAGAACAGACACATCTCAAAGAAGACATACTGAGACCCCAAAAGCAAATGCAACAAAAACAAAAATAAATAAATGGAACCTAATTAAATGAAAAAGCTTCTGCACAGCAAAAAATCAGCAGAGTGAACAGCCAACCCACAGAATGGAAGGAAATATTTGCAAACTATGTATTCAACAATGGGCTAATATCCAGGACCTGCAAGGAACTCAAACACATCGGCAAGAAAAAAAAATCCCATTAAAAAGTGGGAAAATGACATGAATATACATTTCTCAAAAGAAGATATAGAAATGGCCAAGAAGCATGAAAAGATGCTCAACATCACTAATCATCAGGGAAACGCAAATTAAAGCCACAATGAGGTACCACCTTATTCCTGCAAGAGTAGCCATAATTAAAAAGTTAAAAAACAATAGATGTTGGCATGGATGTGGGGAAAAGGAAACACTTTTACACTGCTGGTGGGAATGTAAACTAGTACAACCTCTATGGAAAACAGTATGGAGAGTTCTTAAAGAGCTAAAAGTAGATTTATCATTTGATCCAACAATCTCACTACTGGGTATCTACTCAAAGGAAAAGAAGTGATTATATGAAAAAGACACATGCACATGCATGTTTATAGCGGCACAATTCACAATTGCAAACATATGGAACCAGCCTAAGTGCCCATCGACCAATGATAGATAAAGAAAATGTGGTGGGCATATATATATGGAGTATGACTCAGCCACAAAAAGGAGCAAAATAATGTCTTTTGCAGAAACTTGGATGGAGCAGGAGGCCATTCTAAGTGAACTAACTCAAGAATTGAAAACCAAAAACCATATGTTCTCACTTATAAGTGGGAGCTAAGCTATGAGAATGCAAAGACATACAGAGTGATATAATGGACTTTGAAGACTCAGGGAGGAGTGGGTGGGAAGGGTGAGGGATAAAGACTACATATGGGGGGTACAGTGTATACTGCTCAAGTGACGGGTGCACTGGAATCTCAGAATTCATCACTATAGAATTTATCCATGTAACCAAAAACCATCTGTACTCCAAAAACTAATTACTAAAATTCTTTTAAAAGACATAAATGTGGCCAACAAATATATGAAAAAATGCTCAACATCACAATTCACTAGAGAAATGCAAATCAAAACCACAGTGAGGTACCATCTCACACCAGTCAGAATGGTTATTACTAAAAAGTCAGCCAGGTGCAGTGGCTCATGTCTGTAATTCCAGCACTTTGGGAGACAGAGGCAGGTGGGTCGCTTGAGCAAAGGAGCTAGAGAACAACCTGTGCAACATGGGAAGACCCTGACTCTACAGAAAAATACAAAAATTAGCTCGGCATGGTGGGTCAGGCCTGTAGTTCCAGCTACTCAGGAGACTGAGATGAGAGGATCATTTGAGCCTACGAGGTGAAGGCTGCAGTGAGTCATGATCACACCACTGCTCTCCAGCCTGGACAAAAGAGTGAGATCCTGTCTAAAAAATAAAAGAAAAAAAAGTAAAAAAAAACAAAAACAAAGCAAAACAAAAAAAAGTGTTGGCGAGGTTCTGGAGAAAAGGGAACACATACACTGCTGATGGGAATGTAAATTAATTCAGCTACTGTGAAAAGCAGTTTGGAGATTTCTCAAAGAACTTAAAACAGAACTACCATTCAACCAAGCATTCCCACCACTGGGTATATACCCAAAGAAAAATAAATCATTCTACCATAAAGACACATACACTTTTGTGTTCATCACAGCTGTATTCATAATAGCAAAGACATGGAATCAACCTAGATGCCCATCAGCAGTGTACTGGATAAAGAAAACGTGGTACATATATACCATGAAATACTATGCAGCCTTAAAAAAGAACAAAATCATGTTGTTTGCAGCAACATGGATGCAGCTGATGGCCATTATTCTAAGTGAACACGTCCTTCTTCTCATGGTGGCAGGAGGGAGAAGAATGAGAATTGAACAGAGAGTCCTTATAAAACCGTCAGATCTCATGAGAACTTACTCACTATCACAAGAATAGCATGGGGTAAACTGCCCCCATGATTCAATTACAACCCACTGGGTCCCTCCCATGACATGTTGGGACTATGGAAACTACAATTCAAGATGAGATTTGGGTGGGGACACAGCCAAACCATATCAGTAGGATTCAGAATTAGATCCTGGACTAGCAAAAGAACATTAATGGGAAAATCTGAGAGATTTTAATAAGGCCTGTAAATTAATTACTAGTATTTGGTTAATGTTAATTTTCTGATTTTGATTATTATACTATGATTATATAAGATTTCAGGAGTTTAGGAAGTGAGTATGAGTGAAAGTGATTTGTGTGTTCTCTTCAAACTTTTTATTAAAATTTAAAATTTAAATATGTGCAAACCAGTTTGATATCCTAGTAAAATATATATATATTTTAATGAGACTACTCAATATATCTGGAATATTCTATAAACCTTAGCCTTTCATGATTTGTTTTTCAATTGCTAAGGCAAAATTTCTAAATCCCAAGGAAAATAGTTTTCCTTTCTGTGATTTTCTAATATAATACCAACAATAATTACACTCTACATTTTGTAGTGCTTTAAAATTTCTAAATAATAATTACTTGTATATGAGATTATTGTGTTGCTTCCATAGATAATATTTGGACTACCTAAGATATTGTATATGATATTTTATGTTAACCAAAGTATCTTCTACACATTAAGTGCTTAATAAATTACTGTTGTTATTATTATTATTAATATTATCCTCTTCACCTTTTGTTCTAAATCACAACTTTATAAGGTTTGTAGTACACCTATTATTTTATCCATTTTGGAGATTAGAAAAAAGAGTCAGGTAGGTAATAACAGGGGATCCAGGTTTGAAGCCAGATATTCTGATTTAGACTGGATGTCTGATCTCCCCATGACATCTGCAAGGCAGTGACCAAGCCTTATGTTTCACTTCTGTAAATCTTCCTCAGAGTCTAACACATAGCCAAGGCTCAACCAAGACTGCCTTTTGAAGAGACACAATTTAAATGTGGATTAACTTCTTAGAAAGAAAAAAATATTAAACTAAGAATAGAACACAGGTTCCCTGATTTCAATGGTTACACACCCCTTATATGTGTGACCAGCATCAGAGTAATTTAAAAGAAAAATGTTATAAAATATTATTACTAGGTTATAAAGGAGTAGGATATATTAATCAATTAACCAAGAAGGTTTATTTTCTGTAAGTAGTAGCTTGTGACATAGGGTGGGAATAGCAAGGTTAAGTGGGAAAGCATAGCAAGGGTGTATGAATCAAAATGTCTTGGAGATAATTTTCAGATCATTTTCTTTTTTTTTTTCTTTTTTTTTTTTGAGACGGAGTCTCGCTCTGTCACCCAGGCTGGAGTGCAGTGGTGCAATCTCGGCTCACTGCAAGCTCCACCTCCCAGGTTCACAGCATTCTCCCACCTCAGCCTCCCGAGTAGCTGGGACCACAGGCGCCCGCCACCACGCCCGGCTAATTTATGTTTGTTTGTTTTTTTGTATTTTTAGTAGAGACGGGGTTTCACCATTCACAGGATGGTCTCGATCTCCTGACCTTGTGATCCGCCCGCCTCGGCCTCCCAAAGTGCTGGGATTACAGGCTGAGCCACCGTGCCCGGCCAATTTTCAGATCATTTTCAAATGCATTCTCCTAGGACCTGCCACAATCTGTAAGGGGCTGGACTCTACCTTGTAAGGATGTCTACTTTAAAAAATCTCCAGTTTATTCTATGAGATTATTTTCTTTCGTTTGTTTTTGTATTCCCTTTTCTTTCACTGTTTCTTTTATTTAATTTAAAATAATTATACAAAATCTGCATCTATTTTAACATGTCAAACAAGAAAGTACCTTTTTTTAAGTTAATAATTCCCTTTCTCTCTCATCCTCCTACAAATCCCAACCCCTTGTATTAATTAATGTTAATATTTTAGACTTCCCTCATATTTCTTTGATTTTATATAGGTAATGTTGATATATAGTTCATACAAGCACACATATACAAATCTCACAAAACCTAAGTGAAAAAAACAAGATGAGAAATATGTAAAATAAAATAAATTACTAGTGGCAAGGTAGAACACAAAAAATTAACAGGCATATTCAAATTAGGTGACTAAAAAATTAATTAATTTAACTTTTACTTGACTTTTGATTTTACTTTACCTGGGTAAGCATATTCAGCTTCCTCACCCTTTTCTGGAGGGTGTTTAGTATCAAAGCATACACATTATTTTATATCATGTGCTCTAATACCATAAGTGGAAAAAAAGGAATTATTTCATCTGCTTCATTGTTTAAGTCCTCTTTCTCTTTACCTAGTATGACCATTACAAATAAAGATTAAATACTGCATACTTCAATGTTATTCTCAGGAATAATTTCCAACATTAAGAAGGAAGGTACAGTTTTCTGTTTTATGACCTTGTAATAGAGATTGGTAAATAACTAGAGACAGTATTCCTTTGCCCTCCACGGGTTGCCCTGGAAACAGGAGGGGGAAAAATGTAATTCTGGGCTCCAGTATCAGCCTCAGATGAATTCCTTTATTTCACACAAAGGTTCACCATTCTTTAGAGAGTTGCATTAGCGGATATTCATGCTAATGGTGGTGTGACAATTACTCAGGTGCTACCTGGAGCAGCTCTTCTAAAGTTGCTTTGCATATTATTTAAATCCCGTTTTTATTTAACTTCCCAATTGTTTATCATCTCCCCAGCCAGTGAATCAAAGTTACCTGAGGAAAAAGTTCATATCTTATAACTCTCTTCTTTGCACCTCTGGAAGCATGTGCCACAGCTCTTGCTTACAGAAGGAGATATGGTTTGAGTAAGAAGTGCTCCTTACCTTGCAAGTTTAAAACGTGTTTCCTTACAAAGGAAGATAAATCAATATTACATGCTACAAATAGAAAGGACAGCCAATTAATCAGAAAAACACCTCTTTGATTCAAACTGCCTATTAGAAAAATGTAAACGCAAATGGGAATTTGAAAATTTTAAATACCTTTAGTCAAATTAAATTAATCTACACAAACTGAAATTAGTTGAAAATGTTATAAGAAAAAAAGTAAACAGGACTGTAAGCATTTATTTGTTTCATCCTTACAATTACCTTATAATATAGGCATTATTATCCCCTTTTAACAGATGAGAAAATGGTGAGGTTCAGAGAACTTACTAAATTTGCTGAGACATTTAGCTAATAAGTGGCAGAAATGGAATTCACATTCAGGTTGATCTCAAAGCTAGTGATCTTTCTACTATACCACAAAAAGAAACACCCCTAATAAAATCTGAAAATAATAAAATCAAAATATTTGAATGAAGTTTTAATTATATTAGAACTAAAAACCGCATGAAAGGCACACACACATTAAAAAAACCATAGATAGGCAAAACCAACACAAATTGCACTGTACTAAAAGTAAGGATGCCTGAGTTCTAGACTACATTGCTCACTCTATACTGTTTCACTCTTAGCATAATGCCTGGCTCATAAAAAAACAGTCATTAAATATTCATTCTCACTCACTGTGTGACTAAAATGTACAAATAGAATCTTTAAAATAGAATCAATCAACCAAACATATTACAATAAAGCTTTAATTAATCAAAACAATTAGAAGATTATTTGTTTTAATGTAATGTTTGGTTAACTAGTCATGAATGAGTAAATCCTTTTTGTAGATTCAAGGTTGCCACTGGAAATCTTTCAAACTCTGTTTTACTATATAGAGCAAACTTTATTGTATAGAGGAATCAATTAATGCACTTGCTACAAGAAAAACTCTTAGACTCCACTTCAAGAAATTTCACTCAAATTTAGTATGTATGCCTAGGGTAGAACACTGGAGTTATTCCAATTCAGGAGAGCTGAAGATGAAGACAAAGCTTTGAGAAGCATTAAGTAAAGAACTTACTATACTGTATTCCAACTGCTATCTGAAGCATATACATTGCACTGTGTCAGCCTCCTTCTCTTAGAATGAATATTCCATCTCATTCAGAGATGGGTCATATCAGCCATATGTTGTTCAGTGACACGGTCACATGGGCCACTATTAATTGGACCAGGTAATTGTGGCCAAAGCTTCTCTTTTCAGGAAAGCGTTTTTAGAATTAAGTAATTCTAGTTTCTCTCTTACAGTGGTAAAAACTGAGGACATGAATGCAAATGCTTATAGATGTGACTATGGGATTCTATGGATGTTCTCTTCAACTTTTTCAGTAAAGTAGGAAGAAAAGTCTTTAGCTGAGAAAGAAATGGAAAGTATTAGAAGTATGATATGAAAAGAAGTGTGAAATAATCATCCATTTGTTCTCCCAATTCCTGGACTAAGGATGTATAGCATGGTTACTAGGCAGCATTAGGGTTGCACTTGAGGTTTGTGATCATGAGTTAAAATGAAACCCATTAGTAGGACTGTGTGTTTTTTACTAACCACATTCAGCTTCATGCGTGCAGGCATGGAACAAGTGGAAGGTTGGATTTAACTAGGAATGTGGCTTTGGCTCAGCAAGGACAATGAATCAAGAAAGCCAAAATGGTATCAAGGGAATGTGCAAGGGGGAATTATAATTGATTTAAGCTAAGTAAGGAAGGGAGAGAGGATATGAAGATGTTGAGAAGTGAAATGGTGAAAGATCAATGGATTAAAGTTCCTAATGGGGTTAAAGAATTATAATTATTGGAGTCCAGGTACTAGAGGAGAAAGAGGGAAATATAGCATGTGATTGTCAGAGAGTGGGATGCATGAAATTGAAATTATGAAGAAGTTATAGTAATTAGTCAAGATCTAAGTTATGACTATAGGAATTAATGATTAAGGTAAGTGGGAAGGCAAAATCACTGAAGGAGACAAATTCAAAGAACTGAAAGATCAAAATGTTGAAAAAGTATGTGATTGACATTACCAAGAATTAAGATCTGAAATAGTATTGATGAACAGGGAAAGGTGATGTGAATTATACGTAATAAAGAATTTGGCTGGATTTTGTCCCCTGTTTCTAGAAGGTAGTCCTTAAAATTTCCCAAGTGATAAGCGTGTCTTTGTTATTCACAATGGGCTCTGATACTTTATGCTGATGAGGTGACTTATGGTGGGCTTCCAGATAGTTTGTGCCAATGAAATGACTCAGGATACAGGTGGCTACTCCAGAAAGATGAAACATGTGATTAGAGGGTTGGAGATTTGAGCCATGTGATATCACCTTGATGAGGGAGAGGATGAGCCCTGGAGACTGAGTTCAATGTTGGCCAGTGATTCAATCAGTCATGCCTACATAATATAACCTCAATAAACACTCTGAACAATGAAGCTTTGGCAAGCTTCCCTGGATGGTAACAGTCTGTGTATTGCTACACAGGAGGCAGGAGGGTGCCAGGAGGGTGATGTATCTCTGACTCCATGAGGAGAAGACACCAGAAGATTTATGTCTGGGAGCCTCTTAGACCTATACATTGCTTCTTTTGGCTAATTCTGATTTGTATCCTTTTGCTACAATAAAACTATAAACATAAGGAAAAAAACAAAACTGAGGCCATATAAATTCTGGAACTTTGGAATAACTATTAATATATTGTATTAATCCATTTTCACACTGCTAATAAAGACATACCTGAGACTGGGCAATTTACAAAACAAAGAAGTTTACTGGATTTACAGTTCCATGTGGCTGGAGAGGCCTCACAATCTTGGAAGAAGGTAAAAGGCATATCTTACATGGCATCAGGGAAGAGAGAGGGCTTGTGCAGGGAAACTCCCATTTTTAAAACCATCAGAGCTTGTGAGACTCATTAATTCTCATAAGAGCACAGGAAAGACCAACCCCCATAATTTAATTACCTCCTATTGGGTTCCTCTCATGACACATGGGAATTGTGGAAGTTACAATTCAGGATGAGATTTGGGTGAGGACACAGCCAAACCATACTATTTTGCCCCTGGCCCCTCCTAAATCTCATGTTCTCACATTTCAAAACCAACCATGCCTTCCCAACAGTCTCCCAGAGTCTTAACTCATTTTAGCATGAACTCAAAAGACCACAGTTCAATGTCTCATCTGAGACAAGGCAATTCCCTTCTGTCTATCAGCCTGTAAAATCAAAAGCAAGTTAGTTACTTCCTAGATACAATGCGGGTACAGGCATTAGGTAAATACAACCATTTTTAATGGGAGAAATTAGCCAAAACAAAGGGGCTACAGGCTTCATGCAAGTCCAAAATTCAATGGGGCAGTTAAATCTTAAAGCTCCAAAATGATCTCCTTTGACTCCATGTTTCACATTCAGGTCACACTGATGCAAGAGGTCAGTTCCCATGGCCTTAGGCACCTCCATCCCTGTGGCTTTGTACATTATAGCCCCTCTCCTGGCTGCTTTCATGGGCTGACATTGAGTGTCTGCAGCTTTTCCAGGTGCACAGTGCAAGCTGTCAGTGGATCTACCATTCTGGGGTCTGGAGGACATGGCCTTCTTCTTACAGCTCCACTAGTTGGTGCTCCAGTAGGGACTCTGTGGGACCTCCAACCCCACATATCCCTTCTGCACTGCCCTAGCAGAGGTTATCCATGAGTGCCCTGCCCCTGGAGCAAACTTCTGCCTGTACATCCAAGTGTTTCCATAAATCCTCTGAAATCTAGGCAAGGTTCCCAAACCTCAATTCTTGTCTTCTGCACACCCACAGGACCAACACCACATGTAAGCCACCAAGGCTTGGGGCTTGCAACCTCTGAAGCAATGGCCTGAGCTGTACCTTTGCCCCTTTTAGTCATGGCTGGAGCAACTGGGATGCAGGCACCAAGTCTCTAGACTGTACACAGCAGAGGGGCCCTGGGCCTAGCCCATGAAACCATTTTTTCCTCCTAAACCTCCAGTCCTTTGATGAAAGGGGCTGCTGCAAAGGTCTCTAATATGCCCTGGAGACATTTTCCCATTGTCTTGGGGATTAACATTTGGCTCCTCATTACTTATGCAAATTTCTGCAGCCAGTTTGAATTTCTCTGCAGAAAATGGGATTTTCTTTTGTATCACATTGTTGGGCTGCAAATTTTCCAAACTTTTATGCTCTCCTTCCCTTATAAAATGGAATGCCTTTAACAGCACCCAGGTTACCTCTTGAATGCTTTGCTGCTTAGAAATTTCTTCTGCCAGATACCCTAAAACATCTCTCTCAACTTCAAAGTTCCACATATGTCTATGGCAGGGGCAAAATGCCACCAGTCTCTTTGCTGAAACATAACAAGAGTCACCTTTGCTCCAGTTCCCAATAAGTTCCTCATTTTCATCTGAGACCACCTCAGCCTGGACTTTATTGTTCATATTGCTATGAGCATTTTGGGCAAAGCCATTCAACAAGTCTATAGGAAGTTCCAAACTTTCCCACATTTTCCTGTCTTCTTCTCAACCCCCCAAACTCTTCCAACCTCTGCCTGTTACCAAGTTCCAAAGTCACTTCCACATTTTCAGGTATTTTTTCAGCAACACACAATTTGTGTTACCAGTTTAATGTATTAGTCCGTTTTCATGCTGCTGATAAAGACATACCTGAGACTGGGCAATTTACAAAAGAAAGAGGTTGATAGATTTGCAGTTCCATGTGGCTGGAGAGACCTCACAATCATGGGAGAAGGTGAAAGGCACATCTTACATGGCAGCAGAGATGAGAGAGAGCTTGTGCAGGGAAACCCCCATTTTTAAAACCATCAGAGCTTATGAGACTCACTCACTCTCCTGAAGAGCACAGGAAAGACCCACCCTCATAATTCAATCACCTCCCACTAGGTTTCTCCCAAGACACATGGGAATTGTGGGAGTTACAATTCAAGATGAGATTTGGGTGGGAGATACAGCCAAATCATATTATACATGGGAAAAAAATCAATCTGCAGAGAAAAAAAGTAAATCAGACATACCAAGGAAAGTGTGTCCAATCTTAGAAAGTTGCTTCGTAATTATCCTTTTTATAAGAGCATGACATTCCTTAGTAATAGATGCTTTACAAATTAATAAAGAATAGTCTTTGCAGTTTGTGACAATTTACCTGAAATACAATAGGATAGCAGGTAAACCATGAGTCACAGAATCATACTTGGAACCTTCTAGTTTAACATAAATGAATTAATTAGTTTACTAAAAATAAGTAAAGAAGTAATAAATAAAAACACTAAGCATTATCCATTCTCCAAGGTCAATGTTTCAAAGATCCTCAGTGGCCCCATTTGTAGATGGCTTTTGTGACTGTGGCACCAAAGCATTCAGACTGTTCTCCACACCTCTGTTGGTAGCTCTGAGTATAAAAGCTGCTGAAACAACTTCTATTGTCTTGTGAATTGCATGTGACAATAAGGCCCACAGAGAATGCTAATGTTAAAACTTAGACACTTGTTGCTCTAGAAGGGGTGGATATTGAAAGTATAAACTATTTGATGTCTGAGATTTTAAAGATTAGCATCTCTTCCTAACTCACCACTGTATGATAACCATTTGCATTAAAAAATAAATCAAACTATTCACCTGAAAGACCAATTATTCAGTGAATGATTTGTGAATGAAAGTCTGCAGTTATGATATCTAAAAATCATAATTTTTGCTTTTTTAACTTTTTGCTTTTTTAATTTTTTGCTTTTTTTGATCCAACAAAATTAGACTGTAATGTGATGATAAACAACCTCTAAAACATAGCACTTTAACACAACCAATTTAATTATCTCCATGCTAAATATTAAAGGTGAATCACAGGAGATTTCAATCCTAAGTCACTAAGAAATCAAGGCTATGAAAGCTCCATTTTAACACATAGATTCATGATGATCACAGCAAGGGAACTTAATAGACTACACACAGACTCTTCACACTCACTCCCACCTCTGGTTGACACATAGCACTTCTGCTCACAGTTTATTAGCCAAAACATGTGACATAGTCCACCTAACTTCAGAGGGGGTGGGAGTTAAACCCTTCCACATTCCTGGAAGAAGAATGGCATACTTGTGAATACATAATGACATGTTTTGCATTTGAGCACCTGACAATTCACATTTCTCAGTGAGAAGTAGGAGAATGCTCCTACTCTCTCTCTCTCTCTAGTCTTTCTCACCTAAGACTCACTTCTAGCCCAAACATATCCTGCACCTAAAACATTCTGAGCTAGATTCTTATGATACGGAAGAATCCAGTAAGGTATTCTGGCATAGGAACTGGCAACCTGTCAGAAATCAGGGGAAGACAATTTGTGTAGGCAAGGCAAATAGTGAGCCCTTGCTTTTCACAAATATCTTCTACTGCCAAAGTCTACCCATTTTACATTTTTAGATTAAAAGCACCATAAAAACATTTTTAATTTAAAAAAGCATTGTGTTCTCAGAAATTTCAGAAAGGGCAGAAAAGCAACAAGACAAAAATATTTCAAATTTCGCTACCTAGAGATATCCATAGTTTCCAAATACAGTTGACCCTTGAATGGTGCAGGGGGTTTGGAGTACCTATCCCCCATGCAGTTGGAAAATTCATGTATAACTTTTGAATCCCTGTATTAGTCCCTTCTTGCATTGCTATAAAGAAATAGCTGAGACTAGGTAATTTATAAAGAAAATAAGTTTAATTGGCTCACAGATCTGCAGGCTTTGCAGGAAGCATGATGCTGGCATCTGATCTGCTTCTGGTGAAGTCTCAGGGAGCCTTCAATCATGGCAGAAGGTGAAGCAGGAGCAGGTATTTCACATGATGAAAGCAGGAGCGAGGGGCAGGGAGAGGTCACTTTTAAATGACTAGATCTCTCAAGAACTCACTATCACGAAGACAGCACCAAGCCATGAGGGATCAATCCTCCCCCATGATCTAAACACCTCCCACTAGGTGCCACCTCACAGCAGTGGGGAATTAAAATTCAATATGAGATTTTTGCAGGGAAAAATATCCAAACTATATCACTCCCCAAAATCTTAACTACTGATAGCCTAATGTTGACTGGAAGCCTTCACAATAACTTACACTCAGTTGACACATGTTTTATATGTTGTATGTATCATATACTGTATTCTTATGATAAAGTAAGCTAGATAAAAGAAAATGTTACAGGAAATCATAAGGAAGAGAAAAATATTTACTATTCATTAAATGGAAGTGGATTGTCATCTTCACATAGAGTTCACTGAGGAGGAGGAGTAAGAGAAAGGTTGGTCTTACAGTCTCAGGGGTGGTAGAGGCAGAAGAAGTGGAGAAGGTGGAAGAAGAAGCAGGAGAGGCAGGCACATTTTGTGTAAATGTATAGAAACACATCATAATTTCTGTCTGATGTTTTTGCTTTTTCATTTCTCTAAAAATGTTTTTATATAGTACAAATCCTTCTCCCACCATTTGCTTTAGTTTCAATGTCTATATCATTGAAGAATTCATGTCACTAAAGAAATTAAAAACAGTCTTGAATCATTAGTGCCCTTCTGCCAAAACAAATATCAATTTGTTTTCTGGCACTGCTTCTTCCACGTCTTCTGGCTCATCATCTGGCACTGGTTTGGAAGCACTTATCTTCATCAAATCATCTCCTGTTAATTCCTCTGATGTGGTGTCTATTAGGTCTTGAATTTCTCCAAGATTCCTATCTTAAAACCCTTCATTCTTCACCTATTTTGCCATATCCACAATCTCTTTCATGATTTCCTTGATGGACTCTGTCATAAATCTTGTGAAGTCATGCACAACATCTGGACACAGTTTTCTCCAGCAGGAACTTATTGTTTCAGGCTTGATGGTTTTCACAGCTTTTTCTATAGCAACAATGGCATCTTCAGTGGTGCAATCCTTCCAGACTTTCATAATGTCCTCTTTATCAGTGTTCTTTCTCAAAGCCTTGAAAATGGTTTCCACAGAATATTGCATATAATGAACCTTACAGGTCCTTATGGCCCCCGATTTAGAGCCTGAATTAGAGACATTGTGTTTGGAGGAAAGTAGACCACTTTAGCACAGTTGATGTTGAACTCATGCGGTTCTGGGTGGCCAGGGGCATTGTCCAATATCAAAAGAACTTTAAAAGGCAGTCCCTTACTGTCAAGGTACTTCCTGACTTTAGGAGCAAAGCATTGATAGAATCAGTCCTAAAAATGGAGTTCTTGTTCAGGACTTCTTGTTCTACAACCAAAAGATTTGCAGCTGTTTCTTAACTTTCTCTTCAAGGCTTAGAAGTTAGCAGTTTTATAACTAAGGGCAGTCCTCATCTTAAACCCAACTACATTTACACAAGGGTAGAGTTAGTCTATCTCTTCCTGCCTTACATTTCGGTACTTGTTTCTCTTCCTTACTAATAGATGTCCTTTATGTCATTTTTCCCCTAAAATAAGGCACTTTTATCTGTATTAAAAACTTATTCAGGCAGATAAACTTTCTCCTCAATGATTGTCTTCATGCACCTGAGAATTTGTATGCTGCCTCTTGGTCAGCAGAAGCTACTTCTCCTCTCATCTTGACATTTTTTAAGCCAAACCTCTTTCTAAATTATCAAACCATCCTTTGCTGGCTTTAAATTCTGCAGTTATAGATTCTTCACTTGCCTTTTGCTTTCTGTTGTCATATAATGACCTTGCTTTCTCTCAAATCATATTAGAGTCTATAGATGTGCCTTTCTTATAGCAATCCTGTAAGCAGATAAAAGTTGCATTTTCAATACTATATAAAAAGGTATTTCACAATAAGTGAAAGGTTTTCGAACTTGCTTGCCTAGCTGTAATAACAGCTTCATGACTTTCCTTTTCTTTTATTATAGTGGTGCTTATGCTGGACTCATTTATCTTGAAATGGTATACAACTGCATCTGCAGACCTCTATGGCACATTTTAAGCAATTCAACTTTCTCTTGTAATATCATGACTTTTCTTGGCTTCTTGGGAGCACTTGCAGCATCACTAGTGGTACTTCTTATGGGTCCTGTGATGTTAGCCAAGGTTTACAGTATCGCAGAAAACATGATGAAAAATACACAAGGATCACAAGAGATCACTTTTTACTTCAATAAGCAACTTACTGGAGAGAGGTACTGCTCACGTGGGGATGATTGGTAGTCACATAGCATTTTAAGCAGACATTTGCAACACTTCAGCTCACCACAATACCAAAGGATGGGGGTTAAAATATTATTAATAGTGGTGCAGTATTATTACAGTTCATTGTATACAGTTGTGATTTAATACTGCATCTTTATGTTTGTTTACATTTCTTTCAACTGTGAATGGCACCACATACACTCTGTGTGCATAAGTTCTGATACATTTTAACTTTCTATAATAGATTTGTGTGTATTTTTTGGTCTTAAATAATAAAATAGACTAGTGTTTACATGTATTTTATGCATTCATGGCATACCTTACTTTTTTTATTTTTTTATATTTCTAGGCCATGTGGTTGGTCTAGGAGTTTTTTTAAACTGTCACAAATCTCCAAAACATTTTCCAGTATATTTACTTAAAGATTCCTCACATAAGTGGACCTACAAGGTTCAAATCTACATTTTTCAAAAGTAAACTGTGCATGGAAAAATTTCTAGGCATTTGATAGATGCCATTCCATTGTGCATTTAAGATTATAGTTTTTCTGGCCGAGCATGGTGGCTCACGCCTGTAATACCTGCACTTTGGGAGGCCAAAGCGAGTGGATCACCAGAGGTCTGGAGTTCGAGACCAACCTGGCCAATATGATAAAATCCCATCTCTACTAAAAATACAAAAAATTAGCCGGGTGTGGTGGTGGGCAACTGTAATCCCAGCTACTCAGGAGGCCTGAGGCAGGAGAATCCCTTCAACCTGGGAGGTGGAGGTTGCAGTGAACTGAGATCACACAACTGCACTCCAGCCTGGGCAACAGGAGCAAAACTCCATCTCAAAAAAAAAAAAAGAGAGATTATAGTTTTTCTTCATTACGCAAAAAAAAATAATGATGCAATGGGAATTTATGTATATCAATCTTTACATATATTTCTAAGATTAAATTAATTAAAAAAATAACTAAGTCAAAAAGTATGGATTTTTTTCTTTTTTTGAGACAGTTTTCCTCTGTTGTCCAGGCTGGAGTGCAGTAGCATGATGTTGGCTCACTGCAGCCTCTGCCTCCCAGTTTCAAGTGATTCTCATGTCTCAGCCTCCCAAATAGCTGGGATTACAAGAGTACACCACCACTCCCAACTAATTTTTTTTTTTTTTTTTTTTTTGTAGCAATGAGATTTTGCTATGTTGGCCAGACTGGTCTCAAACTCCTGGCCTCAAGTGATCAGCCCACCTCAGCCTCCCAAAGTGCTGGAATTACAGGTGTAAACTACCATGCCTGGCCAAGTACGGACATTTTTAAAGTTCTTAATGGATATTGCTCACTTGCAAAATCCATGAGTTTAGGAACTTTATCTTATTTGCCTCTGGGTCAGTAGAACCAGAAAAGTGATGAACATATCATAGACACTCACTGAGAATGTACTAAATTAATGAATTAATACATCGCCCAAGGGCTTTCCAAAATAAATAGCACTTTCAAATACAATCATTCCCACAGGAAGTTAAATCTATTGCTTGTCGCCATCTTGGTCTGATTCATTATTTAGCTGATTTATTTCTTCCTAATACTCACTAAAGGAATTGCTATATTTAATAGGAAACATTTGCTGGGAGGTAGCTGATGGGAGGACACAAACTTACTTTTCCCTGCAATTCCCCAAGAGCTTTTCTTGGGACTTTAAGATTCAACAATTTATTTGATAATCTTGCAGTAAGAAAAAGAAATACATTGAATAGGCTAGAAATAATTGTAGTTTCCTAAAGCCTGGGTAGGGAATGGATGCTTATAGATAAGCATCTATAAGCATCTATTATCTTTTATTTTAAGTAGTATAAGTAACTGTGTGTGTGCCCATGCATGGGGGTGTGTGCATGCCTGCTAATTGCTACGATAAGATCATCTACATTTTGTTGCAGGTTAAATACTGCTCATATACCTCAAATTAATCCACATCCGAAATGCATATGTAGCTACCCATTTCTACACAGGACCATAATCCCAGTACAACCTTTGACAAATCCTTCAGCTTTCCTGGCTCACTCTTCTCTAATAATACAACAAAGTATACATGTAATAGTTTGATATAGAGCTTCTATATCTCAGTTCCTAAATTAAGGCCTTTCACAGAGCTTTTAATAATACAGCCCCACGCTCCTGGAATTACAGGCAAAGTTAAAAATCATTCCTCCTTTGCCTTTCAACAAATTTCAGTTCTCTCCTGTAACTATGTGCATGCAAATTCTATTAATGCTAATGAAGGCGATGTACATGCATACAGAGTGGAATATATCTCTAAATCACACTTTAATCTTTAGCTACATAACTCTGGCACCTGTTCAAATGATACATGTGCCTCAAATACACACTGTATGTCTGTTGTTTCCTGTCTGGGTATTAAAATTTATTCATGTATTTTTAGTAGCTATTACAATATTTGACTGACAAATTTTGTTATTATTGTTATACATGTGTTGAGTTTTAACTGGGTGCTAGATGTGGCCATAAACATTCCTGATTTATTATAATGCAATTAGAATGCAAATTTGATTCCTGACCAGGTTATATTTATTTTTTAAAATGGAAATTTTCTGTTGTTTTCCACCTGGTTAAACATATGTAGTAAAAAGAAAACATAATGCTAACAAAATAAATATAAGTAACCTGGTAGCTTGTTTCTGTACTGAATAGTGGTTATCTTTACATAATTAAAAAAACATTTTAATGCATGCATTTTTAAAAACCCAGTTGAATGAGGTCATATTTGGTTTATTTATACTAAAAAATATTTTATTAACTAATAATTTTTAGAGAAAAAGTGGTTAGCTAAACAATTTTACATTATTTTTACATATTTGACGTTCCCTGGACACATGTAAATCTAGCATTAGCCACTTCTCAAGAGGGCCTCCTGCACCTCCACCTTCACATTCTTTCTTTCCTTTTCCACCTTCCCACAATGTTCCCCCAAAAGTTGAAAAAGGTAGATAATACTGAAATCTGTACACTATAGCAAGGCCAGAAGTTTTATACTTTGAGGTGGAAAAAAAAGGTAATATTCTTTCTAACTGATCTCTTATTCTGGAGCCCCTTACCAATAGATACAGAAACTTGCCAATTAAATGCATTCAGTCTCTTTGCATTTAAAACTGTAAATATTCAGTCAGTGCAAAGTTCAAAGTCCCTCCCAGGACTATTTTCACTTTCCTTTCCCCTTTCCCATTCCTGAGAGAGTGGGGCAGGGTGTAAGCCTTGACTCCTCAGGCAGTGGCAGTAGAGATGCTCCCATGTGGCGCAGCAGATTTTGTGAATTCGTTTGAATGTAACCCAGAGAGCCCCTGGCCTCTGCCACAGCCTCCAGGCATAAAATCCACCTTCTGCAGAAACTTTGAATTATATAGAACCTGAACCCCAGGCCAGACCCATTCACCTATCCCCATCCTTCAGCCATCTTATCCCTTACACAGTGGCATGATTGGATGTGGTTTCATTCCAATTTCTGGACTTCTCTGAAAGACTTGCAACTTCCCAGCTATGTCTCAAGAAGCTAGGACTAAGGATCCCATCACTAGAAACTCAGATGTTTCTATCCCCCTCAATCCCACCCTACAATGCTCCTCCCCAGGCTTAAACCTTAAGTAGGGAGCCAGGCAGGACACTCATCTCTGACCCTTCCGCTTCTCTCTCTTCTCCCAGTAAAATAATTTTCTACTTTGCCACCCTATCTCACCAGAACTGTCTCTAAAAACTTCTATTTATTCTTCCCTATTCCATGGCATTTGCCCTTCTCCTCCACATTCTCTACTGACATAATCCTGACTTTGTTCAAGTATGGATCGGAGGTGTGTTTAGGGGAGCCTGAGCCCCTCCTCAATTTCAGAGAGAAAAATATAATTTGGATTAAGCCAAGCATGGCAATTTAATTTCTCTGGCTAGTTGGTTAGGAATGGCATGTGGTATAATTATGGCCACTGAGATATGAGGAGAAACGTGCTGGGGGCTTCTGGCAAAGTGTTCCTTTTGTTCCGGGAAGGGGTCCTGATTCAGACACCAAGAGAGGGTTCTTGGATCTCGAGCAAGAAGGAAATTTGAGGCAAGTCCATTGAGTAAAGTTAAAGCAAATTTATTAAGAAAGTAAAGGAATAAAAGAATGGCTACTCCATAGGCAGAGCAGTCCCGAGGGCTGCTGGTCGCCCCAATTTTTTTTTTTTTTTTTGAGACAGAGTCTCGCTCTATAGCCCAGGCTGGAGTGCAGTAGAGTGATCTTGGCTCGCTGCAACCCTCACCTCCCAGGTTCAAGCAATCCCTGTGCCTCAGCCTCCTGAGTAGCTGGGATTACAGGCACACAGCACCATGCCTAGCTAATTTTTCTGTTTTTGGTAGAGACAGTGTTTCACCATGTTGGCCAGGCTGGTCTTGAACTCCTGACCTCAGGTGATTCTCCCGCCTTGGTCTCCCAAACTTCTGTGATTACAGGATTGCCCATTTTTATGGTTATTTCTTGATTATATGCTAAACAAGTCGTGGATTATTCATGCCTCCCCTTTTTAGACCATATAGGGTAACTTCCTGATATGGCCATGGCATTTGTAAACTCTCAAGGGGCTGGTGGGAGTGTAGCAGTGAGGACAACCAGAGGTCACTTTCATTGCCATCTTGGTTTTGGTGGGTTGTGGCTGCCTTCTTTACTGCAACCTGTTTTATCAGCAAGATCTTTATGACCTGAATCTTGTGCCAACTTCCTATCTCCTCCTGTGACTTAGAATGTCTAACCTACTGGGAATGCAGCCCAGCAGTCCCTATTGAAGATGGATTTGCTCTGGTTCAAATGCATCTGACACTTTCTTAAAGAGAGACATGAAGACAAATGACCGCTTCTCCCACGCGGCCTTTGGATATTATTTATGAGGACCACGGCCTGCAACTGCTGCAGTCATCTTGCAGCTATGAGGAGAGTAGCCAGCACCCTAAGGATGGCAGCCGAGACTTCAGAAAAACACCTGGTCCTTAATAATGTCATTGAGTCACTGAGCTAGACATCCTACCTAGAACCACTCACCTCAAGGTTTCTTTTCACGTGAGATAATATTTACTTTTGGGTAAACACTTCTAGTTTCTAGTTGGCTTTCTGTGGCTTGCAGCCAAAAGCACACTAACTTCCTTGAGGTAAAAATGTTGAGAGGGCCATAGGGAGATAAAACAGAGGTCAGATAAAGGAAAATATATTGAAATATAATATAGAAATACTACTTCCATAGCAAATGTAAAATATTTCTTGTCAAATGATGTGAGAGAGGTGTGGAATTACATCACAGTTTTTTTCAGAGGTGGCTTGGCTACAAGAGTTACTGGTGAATCCAGGTTCCTGTCCATGAACCAGGAGTCCCAAGGAGCTACCAGGATATTAATAAGCTAGACTAAATGTAGCCTGCATTTATAGAAAGTGCCTAATGTGCCATTAGTCCCTATTGATGGCATCCTCTATAGAGCCCCCAATGTCCACGGTGCTTGAGAGTCTCACCTGAAACCTCACTATCCAGATGAAAGAGACAAGAAATAATTCTCATTTATCAGACACTACCTTTTTGGTTTGTTTGTGTTTTTATCAACATTATAAATATACGTAGTTTAGGCCAGGCACAGTGGCTCATGCCTGTAATCCCAGCACTTGGGGAGGCAGATGCATGCAGATCACTTGAGCCCAAGAGTTTAAAACCAGCCCGGGCAACAAAGTAAGACCCTGTTTCTACAAATAATCGAAAAACTAGCCAGTGGGGCGCACCTGTGGTCCCAGCTACTCAAGAGGCTGAGGCATGAGAATCATTTGAGCCCAGGAAGTCAAGGCTGCAGTGAGCTGTCTTTGTGCTACTGCATTTTGGCCTGAGTGACAGAATGAGACCCTGTCTCAAAATAAATAAATAAACAAACAAACATAGTTTAAGGAGTCAACAAGTTTGATAAACTTTTATTTAAACAACAACAACAACAATCTCTTTCCCTGCCCTTATATTCTGTTTCCCAGAAGCAACCTGTGTTTCAGTTTTTAAAATTTAATCTTTTGGTATTTATTTCCAAATCTTTCCACAATTTAATAATGTATTAGATTTCAAGAGCTGCCATAACAAAATAACATAGACTGGGTGGCTTAAATAATAGAAGTTTATTTTCTCACAGTTCTGGAAGCTGGAAGTCCAAGATCAATGTGTTCGCAGGTTTGGTTTCTCCCGCAGCCTCTCCCTTTGGCTTGGAGATGGTTCCCTCACTGTGTCCTCATATGGTCTTTTCTTTGTGCTCAGGCATCTGTGGTGCCTCCCTCTGTACTCATTGCAATTCAGGACTAATCTTTTCTTACAAGGATAACAGTCAGATTGGATTAAGGCCCATCCTAACAGACCAGCCTTTGAATATGGGCTCCTTCTGGGGAAAGGATGTAACCTCGGGCAAGGTAGCACATTTTAGTCACTCAGCTATGACCCCTCCACTACGGTCTTTAGCTTTTATTTTAAAAGTTTTCTTCATGGCCAGGCACGGTTGCTCATGCCTGTAATCCTAGTACTTTGGAAGGCCAAGGCAGGGGGATCATTTCAGGCCAGGAGTTTGAGACCAGCCTGGCCAACATGGTGAAACCACGTCTCTACTAAAAATACAAATATTAGCCAGCCATGGTGGTGCATGCCTGTAATCCCAGCTACTGGGGAGGCTGAGGCACAAGAATTGCTTGAACCCAGGAGGTGGAGGTTGCAGTGAGCTAAGATCACTCCACTGCACTCCAGCCTGGGCAGCAGAGCAAGACTCCATCTCAAAAAGAAAAATTTTAAATAAAGCTTTCCTCACTTGGTGAGTTTTAACTTTTTGTGCAGTACTAAAAAGTTATCTGAAAGCTCTGAATGCGACCTGGAGCCTGTCAACTGTGATCTATACTATAGGGGGTTCTGGCTGGTCATTTCATTGGTTCTTCAGTTGTCTTTTCTCTTGACTGCTCAGATTTCCCAAAGAAGCATCTTTTGCCTAGACTTATTGTGGACACTCTGAGAGCTAAGTGGAGAAAGAAAGATTAGAGAGAGGAGTCTGAATATTCAATATGCAAATGTTCAATTAATCCCTTTTTTCAGCAAGTATTGCTCCTCCCGACCTCCGCAATACCCCACCCTACCACCACTACTCTTCTTGATGCATGTCAATCCAGAGAGGTTTTGTTCTATCTGCTTTGGAGACTAACCCCATCAAGTTGGGTAAAGGCAGTTGCCCACCTGTACAATTGGGGATTTATTTAATGGCCTCTTAAGGAAACTTTCAACCAATCTTCCTATTTTTAGCCCCATTTTCAATCTCATTTTCAGAGGTACCTGGAAATGCCAATTCCTGAACCTTCTGGATATTCTGCAGTGTAAAAGTTTCTCAGCTTTTCCCAAGTCAGCAACAAAGAATTTGGCTTTCTAAGTTTGCTGAGTCAATATTATTCATTCATCTGCCTTCTAGCTTCCAAAATTTTTGCTATTTCTTTCTCCTCCATTCTTTTTGTCCTTGTGGGTATGTACCTTTTTAAAAATATCCCTTTACTGTCATCTTAGGGAGTAAAAGTATACGTGTCTACTTAAACTCGACTTACACATTTTCTCTTTCCCTCTCTCTCATTCTCTCTCACACACACTTTTTAAAATATAGGTAGAATATTCTAGCAAAAGAAAATAAGTGTCTTTCCTACCCCTGTCTGTCACCAGTTGCCTCTTTGCCTCCAATCCCAAGCAGGTAATCACTTTTATTAGTTCTCTATGTGTTCTTCAAGAGTTTCTTTATGTATATAAAATGAAATATAAATATATATTCTTATTCCTCCTTTTTTACACAAATAGATTACTATAAGACTGTTCTGCATTTTGCCATTTTCATCTAATATTGCTTGAAGCTCTTTGCATATCAGTATAGACCTCTTGCTCATTCTTTTTAACAGCTGTATAGTATTCCAATTATTTAGCCTCCCAACAAGGGACATTTGATTTGTTTCCAATTTTCGCTATAAAAAACCTATAATGAATAGTCTTAAACATAAACAATTTTGCATGTGTACAAGTATATCCATAGGCTAAATTCCAAGAGATCTGTTAGATCATGTGGTGTAGTTATTTGTAATGTTACCAATTGCCCTCTGTGGGAGTTGTACCAATTTGTAATGCCAGCAGTGAAAGGATTCTGGTTTATTTCCCCTCCTCCTTGCATTTAACAGAGTATATTACAAAAATAATTGAATAAGTAAAAGTGGTACCTCGGTGTACTTTAATTTTGCATTTCATTAATATGAGTGATTTCATATGTCTAATGTAAATTTTTATTTCATTATTATTGAACTTTATTCAGTTCTTCATAAGGTAGAGTTAATAATTTTATTTGGAGAAAAAAGTAGTGTGTGTGTTTATGTTTGTATGTGTGTGTACATGTAACCAAAAGTTCAAAGGCATCATTACAACCTTGCTTGGCCAAATGTATAATTGCAGTATATATATTTAAAAATCTCTTGCTACATCTAAAGTATGGTATTATGTAGGTTGGTGTTTATTCAGGACAAGGAAAATTATCCAAATAAGTTATTTAGAACAAGGAATTTATCACGCAGAAGAATATGTCTGGGATAGAAGGCCCATTAACACTCAAATTATGAGTTCACTAATCTGGTCTAGGTTGAGGAAGTATGTCAAGAACAATAGCTTGCTCATATCTGAGATGTGTTAAAATTAACTGTGTGTTTAATAATATTGGGCTTAGAATCATATGGTAGAAAACATTACATTAACTGAGTAACGTAATCATTCTCAGCGTCAATTTCCTGATCTGAGAAATGGACATGGTAATATCTGTCCCACAGTGTTGGTAAACTTTCTTCACCACTGACACCCATTAATATAAATCACTTCTAATCAATGAACTCAGAAAGGAGGTAGTCATATAAGTCAGATAAAAACATCTAGAATTTAGAAAATTATACAGCTCTCAGAAAGAGAATATTTGAACCGTAAAAAATAAGGAATATTAAGATATATATGACTATAAATAAATAAAATAGCACTTGATGCTAAGAAAGCATGCATAATCTCAAAGCAGAAAATAGAATGTCTCACAACTAGAAGTGAGGCAAAAGGATAGATTTACTAACTTTGTGATTATAGAACTTACCTATTTTGTAATTATAAATAGTATAGTATGAAAATGTTTCATAAAAACTATAAGCCTTTAAATCCCAGACAAAAGCCAGTGGAGTAGGGGATAAGACATACTGAATTCGCAAAATTTAGGAAGATATGTTTTCATGAAAAAGAGTTTTCTCTGCTTTCTTTAGGTAATCTTGTAGATATATTAAACAGAAATTCTTCTCAAATAAAGACTGAATTTATATTTTCACTTAATAGTTTATTCTACTTTTAAAAAGCTTAACTAACAAATCAAGAAAACCTCATATTTTGTTTATTTTTCTATTTTAATTACTAGATATAATGTAAAAATAAAATTATACCACAAGAAATACCATTATGTGGAATATAAAAAGCACTTTTTTTCAAATAGGTGTATACACTTAAAAAATAAAACTATAATATCATGTAACTGTTGTGTAAAACAAATGTTCTTCCTCAGATTCATTTTTTTGTTGCAGCAATAGGTCCCCCTGGTGGAGATTGAAAATATATTTTGTTCTATTTTTCTCTTTCCAAGTCACTATCTTAATTTGAGTAATTAAGTGCCATTCTTCCTTGAATAAATGAATAAAGAAGGAGTTTAGAAGGCCTGTGAATTGACTGTCATCCCTTCTGCAGGTGAATTTGTACCTAGTAACATTCATAATTGCAGGAATCAAACCCTTCTGCCTAGAAAGAACATTCCCCAAAACATAAAGTCTTAGTTGATAGAGACTAACAAAATTAAATATGCAAAATAATGAAGCTTTTAAAAATCACATTCATAGATTATAAGAGTCTAGTTAATGATTCCTCTTATTGGTCTATATATATATTCCTGTATACAAGGCAAATGTCTCCTTAGCTGGGAAAGAACAATCGTTGTTCATTGAAGACTCACAAGACAATTACCATATGGAAATACCATGAGATACATACACCCTTCATTGTTGGGTTACATGAGGTGATACCTTAACAAGTGATATATAATGGAAGGAAAAAGTGTGTCAACTTCTATGCATGAATAAAACAGGAGTTCTTAAAGTGAGACCAGAACCATGTGTTCCCATTCAGTTCTACCAGTGGATGCCCACCCAGAAGCATAATCAACTTGGAACAATATGGAACCCAGATTTCATTCCATACTCTCTTGAAAATGAAAGTTCCAGCAGTGTCAGCCTGGGGCAAAAACTGAAATTTAGATGATACTATCTTTTTGTAACTGTTTCCCACACTGTAGAGGTCCCGGAGATCCCAGAACATCCAAGATCCGATTATAGAGCTGCAAATCTCTTGAACCTATAGGTCAATAACCACTCCATGAGTCCTTTCTCTGGCATCAGCGTCCCACTGCCGCTCACCATTTCCCTGTGACTCCTGTACATTTCCCCTACATAAGCCCTAAATCTCTGGTTTCCCTGAGGCTTAAGAACAACTAAGCAGCTATTGATATGGATGGTGTATTCCTCAACACTGAATTCATCAGAATCCTGAGCAATGTTTTTAGATGGTCAAACACTACAGCAATCTTAATCTCTTTAATTTCATGTTTCTTGATTTTTTTCAGTAAGTAAGTAGTATATGGAGTATGTCATTGAACCAATAAAGAGTATGTGAATTAATTTACACTTCAGAAAACCTCTACATCCATACTGTAAGCTGTATTCTAAATTAAGCTCTCCTTTACCTCTAGGCCCTCATGCACCTTTTATTTCATCCTGGGTTCCTAGAACAAATTTCTTGATTATATAGGAGCAATTTGACTGGTCTGTAGACTAACAATATTAAAGTACAGCAGATGTCTAGCGTTTTCCCTCCCCTGTAGTGCTGGGAAGGTCTCCTTTGGGTTCTCAACCCTACTTTAACCAGACATGCCTCTCGTTAACTCAGCACTTCTCTAATCTCGTGGGAGACAAGGGGGAGAAGGTGAGAGCAAAAGTGGTAAACAGCAGCAATTACTTGGTTGGGAGATGAGCCTTGTCCAGGTCTCTGCTATGTTTAATATGGTTGATCTGAACACTCCTCCATCTGACCCCAAATAACTGAAGTTGACTGCATTTGTCTCTTCTTATTTCTATATAGTTTGTGATCTGTTATTTCTAATTTAATAATCTTACTGAATTTGTGTTGGAGAAGTGTGCTACAATCCTTTTTTGGAAAAAAAAAAGATGTTACATAAAGTATAAATAAAATAGAAACTAAGAACTCTTTTAAAAAGATTTGCCTTTTCTATCTCTTTTTCACATGAATTAACTCTTTAGACCCTAATAGCTGCCAGCAATCAAGTTTAGCTTTTTGAAAATAATTTTTAAAAACCTTTGACTTTAATATAACTTAGGTAGAACTATAAACCATGATTTTTAAGCTGATTTCAACCAAATGTTAATAGCATATATTTTATCCATGCTCCCTAAGAATACATTTCCTCCAAATGGACTGAACACTGCCTTGCTCACCTGTTTATGAATACTCCAAAGAAACTAATCTGAGTTTAGAATTTACCCCCAAGCAGTATCCTAGCTAGCTAGGTTTGGGTACAACCAACAGCTCCTTAGAGGCCCTCAAGACCCCAGAACTTCCAGGATCAGATTGTAGAACTATAAGCACTTGGGCCCATAGGCCAATAATTCAAACTACAGAAGAAGCATAACTATAACAATTAATTTTAATATAACTTTGCAATTCACAAAACATTTTCACAAACATAATGTCATTTAATTTTTCCCCAAACGACATGAAATAGACTGTTAATTTTCTAGTTTTTAAAAATCTTTCCCAGTTTTTTTTCTTGTATCTTTGCTACAGTAGTGAAATCAACCAATTAGATATAAACAAAGTTTTCTTTCACAAGGAAAATTCTTAGAATCCAAATCTTGCTTCTCCCTCTTTGAAAGAGTTATTTTGTTTTTATTGCCAGTGTTGAAAAACATCCCACTATCCCTTGGACTTAGATTAGCAACAATTATCTCCCAGCAAGACTGGTATAGAAAGTCTCCTGGAAAGCTCAGTTTTGGCTAGCTACTCAGATTTAATGGAACATTTTAAATCTTAATAGAAAAAGGAAAATGTAATCTTGCTGAAAGTATGGTTATATCTACCTGTTTGGTAGAAACCTTAAATGTATAAACTTTCAAAACAATCAAAATGTATATTTTCTTAAAAAATAAGCCAACCCCAAACCTTTAACCTGCTGTTAAATTTAAGGAGGTCCTAAATGGTAGGAAATATAATTTGAAAATATTTTTGTCACTTAACATTTAGTTTATGTATATTGAGTGGTCTTTAAAAAGCTACGTATCAGAAATAGGCTTCCATCAATAAGTCTCTAGTATTTATGCTCTACAACAGTACACGTTTCCATGCTGTCAAACGTACATGGACTTTTGGAAGACCCTGGGGATAGGCAGTCTAGGTAACACCATACAGTGAAAATGATCGCCCTTTTCAGAGAGCACAGTGGTGTGTTAGGCAAATGTTACAAGCATATTAAATCAGAAATGTTGGACTCCGGGGATTCTATTATCTCTTATTTATTTTATTATAGAATAAAGAAAACCTATTTTAAAATATCCTTAATTAAGTATAAAATGGAAGTAACCCTGCTGATGTTTGATTCTATAAAATGTTAGTAATATTCCTAAAATCATCATATAATGAAAATATATTTTACATAGTCTCAGAATAGCACAAGACATATGGGTTTCCAAAGTTCTCATGAAAGAGGTAATTTGGATTTCTGTAGACAGTTAGATAAAATTACTAATAAAAACACCTGGTATTTAGAGTTTACCTCACAAAGGTAACTTTTAACATACAATCATAAAGCTCAGATAAACCAGAACCTGGTTTTATTTTAGATTTTATTTGGCAATTTTTCATAGCATCTAGGATGAAGTTTTCAATGAATGGTTTAACTACAGTATATTCTGAATTCAGAATCAGGAAAGGTAAACAAATTACCTATTCCAACTGAAAATCTATTCCAAGATCTCCAAGACGCAACTAAGCTCTCATCCAGTTGGCTGCCATATTTCCTTCTGAGATTTCCTGCTTACAACCCAAATTCTGCACAATTCTAATATTAAAGTGACCTTTACTGACCACCCCTCCCCTCCAACCAATGCACCTCAACTGAGACCTACAAGAACTTTGCTTTAAGACTACCAGCTTGAGGTCCATAAACCTTGCTCCCTCCTCCTCTTTGGCTTAATGCCTAAGACCACCCACACAACCTTCTATCAACCACACTTCTAAATCTAAAGTTCCTTTCATTTTAAACAGTCCCTAAAATAAAATCTTCTCCACAAAAATTAAGTGGAAAAATGTTTCCCTAAATTTTACCCTCAAAATGAAAACCTTTTACAAGTCTTCACTACTCAATAATGTGTACTTTCTCAATAAGTATTTGCTTAACACTATTTTTAATGTATTTATTTTCCAAACTGATCTACTCTTTCAATGTGTTGTCTCCATGACTATATAGTTATCTAAGATTATAAGCTTCCAGAGGTCTGACACAAAACACTAACTTACATGGAATAGCACATAATATAATGCCATGCTAACTTCAACATGTTTCATGAATGTTTTTCAGCTGAGCTTCTGAAGCTCAAATTCTCTTTCATGTTTTGTGGTTTTAAAGGTCTGATGTATTACATCTTGAGGGAGTACGTAAAAGTCATTGTTAAGAAGATAGCATCAGTTATGAGTGGGCTCTAGAGTAAAACAGCTGGGGATCATATTCCAATTCAGTTACAACCTATTACCTCCAACATGTTATTTAAACCCTCCAAATGTTTGTAAAAGACAATCCTACAGTATCTACCCCAAAAGGTTATTAAGATTAAAATATGTAACTTCTCTAAAATAACAGTGGTTACTATTCCCAGAGATCAATCTTACGATTTGCCTAGGACAGTTCTGATTTACATCTGTTATCCCAGCTTAAATAATAGCTCCCCCCTACCCTCTAGCTCCTTCATTCTCAAAAGTAACCTGGTTCAGATAATAAAATACATAATCAGCTGTGCTAGTTATTGAACTACTTTTTTCCCCACAACTCCAAACCACTATTCTACACTCAAACTGTGTAATACTAGGGCTGGGACTGTGAAAACTACATTTCTCCTTTGCCACCTGAATTTTTGTTAGGCTCCACTAATAGCAGGACTAGAAGATAAAGACATAAAGGCAGGAGAGGGAAAGAATCTTGCTGTTTCCTGTTTGTTTGTAATTCCTGCCAGCATTCCCAGAGCAACAGCTCTTCATTCCAGTAGCGACACTTGGTTTGTCTCCAGCTTTTTCTCAGCATTCCCCGTACCAGCCTCATCATTCCCTAACTATACTACCACCACTTACCAGTGGCCCCTCCCCAAATGTCTGAGTCCCTGCTCTGCTGAAGCTCTCCCCAAAGTGTCTAGTAACCACAACCTCTAGCTCGGTCCCCTAGGCCTAGGGGTGGTAGCTGCCACCTGAAGTTATGTGTCCTTTCTGCTTTTGTTTTGGTTCTCCATTGTAACCTATTCCTTATATTACACTGTTAAAATTGTAATGTTACATACTACGGTTTTTTAAATTATTTTTTTCACATTGGTCATCAGAACATTGTAAACAATCTTTAAAAAACACATCGCCATTAAATCCCTAAGAGATTTTACTTCCAGTGACTAGCATCAAAGCTCACCAGGAAACCAGAGTAACAATGCACTAAGCAAGTTTAGTAGGTAACATAACTTTCTCACATCATGAAATGCCACTGCATGGTAAGTAGGATTATAAGGATAAATATGACGAATATCTTACCTCCCTCTTTTTACAAAAAAAATCACTCTTTTCTTCATACAGCCACCTCCACTAGTCAGTATTTTTTCCTTTCCACTCTACAGTTACTGATTATGAATACTAGAAGAAACAACAATAATTCATATCCTACTGTAAGGCAAGTCTTCCACAAACATGAAGAGCCCAGATGAGCACTCTTCTCTAACCCACAGTAAGAGAAGAAACAAATGTGTTAGTATCCCAAGAAGAAACTATGTATATTAACAAAAAAGACGGCCAGGCGGGGTGACTCATGCCTGTAATCCCAGCACTTTGGGAGGCTGAGGTGGGCGGATCACCTGAGGTCAAGAGTTCAAGATCAGCCTGGCCAACATGGTGAAACCCGACCTCTACTAAAAATACAAAAATTAGCTGGGCATGGTGGCAGGCGCCTGTAATCCCAGCTACCTGGGAGGCTGAGGCAGGACAATCGCTTGAACCCAGGAGGCGGAGGTTGCAGTGAGCCGAGATCATGTCACGGCACTCCAACCTGGGTGACAGAATGAGATTCTGACCCAAACAAAAAAAAAAAAAGAAAGAAAGAAAAAAGACAATATATCCGTAAAGTGGCAAAAAAATAGCTTCACTGTTCCAATAAAGTCACAGAAGACTCACAAAACTAGATTTACTTTTACTGTTTTATTTTTCACTTTCCTGGAAATCAATATATTTCATGATCAAGACAGAGGGAACTCATCAGTGTGCGACAAAAATTTTTTAATTTCAAGGTCTGTTGCCCTGAATATAATGACTGTGACCATTGAATTTGTATTCAAAATTAAGTTTTACTCTAGTTAACCTGCTGATATAGTTTGTATATCTGTCCCCACTCAAATATCATGTTGAATTGTAATCCCCAGTACTGGAGGTGAGGTCTGGTGGGAGGTGATTAGATGTCCTCACAATAGTGAGTTCTCATGAGATCTGGTGGTTTCAAAGTACTTGGCACTTCTCTCACTTGTTCACTCTGGTTTTCACCATGTGATGTGCCTGCTCCCCCTTTGCCTTCTACCATGACTGTAAGCTTCCTGAGGCCTCCCCAAAAGCAGAAGCACCATGCTTCCTGTAAAGCCTGCAGAACCGTAAGCCAATTAAGCTTCTTTTCTTTATAAAATATGCAGTCTTGGGTATTTCTTCGTAGCAATACAAGAATGACTTAATATACACTTGCTTCCTAGATAACTGTTTGAAATGTCACTACTGCTATAGTATTCCCTACTGATTTTGTGTTAAATTTCTAGTGGACAACCCTTAATGTAATACTCTTAAAAGGCTCACAACATTTAAAGCGCCTCAAATGATACTACACTTTAAACTTAAAAATTTAAAACAAGAATTCTAAAGAAAGATTGCTGAAATAGACAACTCAATTCCGTTCCTGGGAGAGCCCATAACACCGAGTACTAGATATGAGTGAAGGATCCATATAGGTACTATTTTTTTCTATGATCGATCTCCATAACCACTTGTTTCCCCCTAACATACACTTCTACAAGGCAGAAGAGCCCACCAGTACTTGGAAACTGTGTCTCTACTATTTCCTGGTGAATCACAGACTGTTCCTTCATATAGGTAAAACATAGACTTAAATTATTTCTGTGGCTTACAGTTTTCTATTTTCATCACTGTGACATGTAATTGAGTGATAATTACCTTAACAAATCAAAATTCCAAAATTTAAATCTCTCAGTCAAGAAGTTAGAAAATTCAAATTGTATTCATTCAATTTGTTTAAGGAAATATTCAGAAGAAAATTAACTTTCATACTTACAATGATACCAAGTTAAGAAACATAATACACAAGGATAAATGGGTCTATCTGCACAATACTTATTCCTTCTAAACTCAAAGACAGGACTCTTAAAAAAGGAATTAGGCTTATATTGAGTCAGCTTGTATTAAAATATAGAATGTCAAAATTGATGAAATGTTAGGTAATGGAAAAATGTGCCACTCTATTGCTAATTGTATTTCAATTTTTGTTTCAGAAACTAGTAAAATTATAAAGGGAAGATTTAAGAAATCCACTCTTGAGGGTTAACAGATACTAGGAATAAAAACAAATTTACCAAACTTTAAAATTCTAATAAAATAAATATTTTATTAACGAAAGTCTGGAAAATGTGTGCACTAAAAAGTGACTATAAATGTTAAATTAAAAAACCTTCAAAGAACACATATCACACATTCAATTTTTAAAACTTTATATAAAAGCTCTATTATAAATACAAAGCTAAACTATCTGAGTACTAACAACACAGTTCATACAAAGAAACTTAACAGTAGTAAAATACAGATATATAAGATGCTTATTTTTGGTCCTTTAGGATAAAAGAACTAAGTTGGTTTTTTTCACATGGCTCCAGGCACAAAAATAGAATATAAGATGGTAACTGCAACATTCTTAGTGTTTATCCTTGTAATTCTTTAAATGTCACCAGTCATAATAGCAATGAACTCCTCTTGGTTTACTGTGGTAAGAAAGAAAATGAAATAGTCAGAAATATAAACATTTTATTTTTTCAGAATCCACGACTACCATTTTACACTAAGTATTTAAAAAATTTTACATTATGCAAAATTATTACATTAAGACATGGCTTTTTGCTTTTACTTCTTTGTTAGGAAGTGGAACATGTTTATTAAATGTAACTTCTTGGATGCAAAAATACATATAATGTGATAAACATTACAAATTAGTATTCTATAATATTAACTGGGGAAAAGATAATGTTACCAAAAAAGTCAATCACAGTCATATTTGTACATACTTGCTAAAACATTTTAAATGCTTGACATTTCAAGGTTCTTTAAACAACCCTCTTTATAATCTTTATTCTACTAGTTCATTTAGCAAATCCTTCCTTTACAAGTAAGCTTGAACATATCATGCATGTAAATTAGATTTCTAAAGAATGAAAATATAATAAAATTATAAAAAGAAGTTAAATTATTATTTTTTGAACTTTTATATACTTAAAAGCCTATGTTAAAGAATAATTAAAACCAGGTCACCATACCTCAAAGGTATCAATAAAAATGGCAATTTGAAAAGATTACAGATGTAATCTTAATCACCAAAGTAATCCAGTAACTATATAGATGTAAAGGCAGAAAATAATCATGGATAAGGACTAATTTTTAGTTTGCCAAAATTATAAATATAGTAAGAATCTCCAATTTATAAAACATAATGTTTAAGACAGCAACCTAGAAATAAGAAATCAGATAATCTTATAGAATATAATTTTGAAAACCCGACATATGCGCACGTATCAATTAAGAAAAATGTTCAGAAGATACTTCTGGTAAGTATTTAGCATTTAGCCCTAAGACTTAATACATACCTAAACAATGCATAAATTATGAATGATAATTTTGATAATGCCAAAAGAAAACTACACTGAGACTTAAGACCTGGTCTCTAGTCACAGCTCTGCACAGAACAGCTCTGCATCTCATTTCCTTCATCTGAAAACACTGAACTATGAGATGATGTTTTAGATTGTTTAACTCTTATTTACCATAGAAGGTATTATATGAAAATACTCCATTGAATCAAACATTTTTAAGTGGCTAGTGAATGCCAACACCACAATAAGTGTTGCGTAATATATCAAAACAGACACCAGGCTTCCTATTCTGGAATACATTAAAACCGAAATGAGAAAGATATTATATGATATTATAAAATTATTGTTAACTTTCTTAAGTGTAACATTGGTATCATAGCTTTATGAAAGATATATCCTTGTTCTTAGTAGATGGATATGCTAAAATATTAAAGGATCAAGTTTTTGTTTTATTATTAAAATTTAATTAATTAATTAATTAATTTAGAGACCGGGTTATGAGACTGGCTAATCGTTGTATTTTTGGTAGAGATTAGGTTTCACCATGTTGCCAAGGCTGGTCTTGAACTCCTGGGCTCAAGCAATCCACCTGCCTCAGCCTCCCAAAGTGCTGGGATTACAGGCATGGGCCATGGTGCCTGGCCTAAAGACTGAGTTCTTGATATATGAAATTTATTTTCAAATGATTGAGAAAAAAATATACACACGACAGGTAAAGCAAATGCGGTAAAATACTAATTACTAAATCTAGGCAGAAGGTACAATGGTGTTCATTGTACTAGTCTGACAATTTTTCTGTTTGAGAATATTCATAATGAACAGTTAGAAAAAATTAACCAATTAAAAAATGTTGAGGAGATAAAACATGGTCATAGGGAATGAAAAGAATATATACTGCACTGGTTCTAGAAACCACATAGAAAACCGGTTTTGATAACTATGTTAGTCAGTTTTTATACTTGAAACAGAACAAATGTTTTATAACACAAAATACTATTTATTATTAAAACAAAGACCAAATCAGTGTTGAAAAAAAATCCTTCACAATGGTAAAAATTATTACTAATAAGAAAAATTTAGGTAAAGGTAAATCATTACTTGGGCTCTAAAATAAAAATACAGAATTTGGAAAGGAAGTAGAAAGAGAGCTGGGGTGGGAGAATACCATCAGAAATACAGTCAAAGAAAGAATAGTGTATGCCTCACAGAAATAAGCTATGAGTTAGGAAAAATGCACCCTCCAGAAGCTGACAGGGAACTATGAAGCCATGCAATCAGTATTTAACATCTACAAAACACTATGACAAACATGGTAAGAACGTAATACAAAATCTGTAATACTCCAAACTACTTTCAAGAATCTTACAAATTGATGTAGTGATCTTTAACCTTTGCAGTTAAATAGCCATGTCTGAATATCTTAGGAAAGCTATGATCCCTCTCTCTTTCCAATAAATACAGTTCAAATATATAAAATTATTAATCAGTTTAGCCAGTGTGCACCTTCACTGAAGAACTCCCGATTTAGACTGAGGCATCTAGACCAAATAGGAAGCAAGAGTATGTTCTTAAGAACTGTATTAAGAGAAAAAACATAAAACAGCCTTAGAATGATTTGATTACAAATCATTTTAACAGTGTAATACATCCATGATTAAAATATTCAAAATCCAAAAAGTACTTGTTACTTAAAGATCTAGAACTTTTTCTTGATCTGTAAAATTTCAATACTCAAACTGCAAATTTTAAGTTTCATATATAAGTTTGAAAACCACAAAACACTTAATTTTTATATTGTTTATATACAAAAACTTTAAACTATAATAGCATTTCAAAAGTATTTAAAATACGGTCAGCCTTCTGTAACCACAGGTTCCTCACATCTGCAGATTCAACCAACTGCAGATGAAAAATATTTGGGAAAATAACACAATAAAAAATAATACAAATAAAATAAAGTATAACAATTTACATAGCATTTACATTGTATTAGGTATTATAAGTAATCTAGAGATGATTTAACGTATACAAGAGGATATGTGAAAGTTATATGAAAATACTATGCCATTTTATACAAGGGACTTGAGCACCATAGATTCTGGCATCCTTAAGCGACTTGGAACCAATCCCCTGTGCTTATCAAGGGACAACTGAATTCCATGATTCATACCTAAAAACACACTACTTAAACCCAAGAAAGTAAAAATTAGAAAGTGGCTCAGGAAATTAAACTAGCTACTTTACTTTAATTGTCTTGTAGACAATTAAAAGACAATCTTCTATATCTCTGTGCATTTGATTTTATAACCTTCTCTATTAACAATATCTTATATCAAGTTCCTATATCTAATAAATCTACCACAATGCCTAGCTTAAAATAAGCTTTGGTAAAACATTTATTGAATCAAGAAAATATGACACTTTGTTTCCTTTTATACTGCCTTCTTTAACAAAATTTTTCATACATCAACCATTTCATAGAGCAAATCTTATTACAAGTTGCTAACAATAAGAATTTTACAGAACTAAGTAGATTAAGTACCTTAGAGACCATCTGGCTTTGAAGGGGAAAAGCAAATCTTAGAATTGGAAGTTCCAACTGAGTATGTTGCTAATACACTGCTTCCTATAATAGCATGTAATTTTTAAAACTCCATAAACATAGAAGTCTAGTTAATATTTTACTTCATAGCCCGAAAGGCAATACAATATTACGTTTAAAAGCACATTCTTTGCCATTTTGGAGATTTGATTTTGAGTTCTGGCTCTACCATGTACAGTATTAGCTTTGTGATAACCTGGGCAGATTAATAATCTCTCAAAGCTTTAGCTTCCTCATCTCTATATATGCATCTATTATACACATGTATAGGTATAATACTATATCTACTTTACAAGTTATTATGGAAATTAAGTGACATAATTAATGCTAATATCCAATATAGTAGCTGCTAAATAAATGTTAAAAAACATCATCATTATTTAAAAGATTATCCATTCTGGCTTTTCAAAACGTTCCTTTCATTTTTTCCAAAAGATGTGCTGTGTTTTATTTTATATATGCTGTTGAGGGGGCAGGGGGAAGTGACTCTTTCTGTATCATTACCACAGCTTTATGTCTATCTTGTAGTACATCTTATTTACCTTTAACTTCACATTCACCATGTTTATTATTCTATATACCCAATATTTTTAAAATTTCATTGCTCTTAGATACTGAAAAGCATGAAAAAGTCACAAAGAGAGAAGAACACTAAAGTCCACAAAAAAGACAGCAAGGTCTAATCTTTAGCAGTTTAACATACAAATAAAGTGGTTTTTATCTCAACAAAACTTAGTTTCCAGCCAAAAGATTCCATATTAAGTGTATGAAAGTATCAAAACAATTTGTTTCTCTAAATGCTATAGGCCTTCAATGGAAGTCTCATGATTCATAGAGCGTTATGGGAAGCTTTTGGGAAAAAGATGGTGTTTAATATTTACCTGAGAGAATGAATCACATTTTAGCAGGCAGAAATTAACAATTAGAGCATTCTAAGATTAAGAAACAGCAGGATGAAACGAATAGCATAAAAATGTGTTTTCAGGATAGCATATGTTGACAAAATGTGTACATACAGGAGGTGAGGGTTAAAGAAGAAAAGTGAAAGAATACACTGGAAAGTAAAATCAGTTACTCAAGGTGGGATAGATCATAGAAGGCTTTGAACTTTACTCTGTAGGCACTGAAGAATCGTTTCAAGTGTCTAAACACAGAAATGGCATTATCAAATGTATATTTTAGGAAAAGAATGATACCAAGAGACTGAAGAAGAGATTAGAGACTTTTATATGCCGAAAGGGCAATTAGGACACTACAAGAGACTGCAAAGTGAAAGCAAGAACCACATCTGCCTTTTTCATTGTGTAGCACCAGTCAACACGCAGGACACTGCACCCAGTAGGCAGCCAAGGCAAGAATAAATGAGGCCATTATAACATTCCTAACTAGAAATTAGGGCCTGAACTAGGACAGCCACAATGGACAAAGATAAAAACAGATTCAAAACATTTGAAGGGGAAAATCAATAGAACTTAGAACTTAGCATGTAGGTTGAGGGAGAAGCCATTAAAGACTGAAATTATATTGAAAGGCTGAAATTTTGGTGGTTTCACCTTCAGAGAAAAGTGAAGGACCTTCTTGAAGTATAATTGGTTTTAGAGATCTGCTTCATTCTAAATTGAATATGTGAATTATTTAGACAGAAGGTCCATTACAAGAAGCAGTTAAGTTTACAAAAAAGTCTTGCAAGTCATTTGGTTTTAGAAAAATGTATTACATGTGTAGCATCAGGAAAACCTGGAAAATACGTTTCACTTAAAACTTACTTTCTCCATCACCATCTTTGTCAAATTCTTCTATCATAGCTCGAAGTTCTTCATCACTCATGTTTTCACCCAATTCTCTAGCAACACGTCGCAAATTCCTCAAGCTTATTTTACCTGAATCATCATCATCAAATAGTTTAAATGCCTTGAGTATTTCTTCATGGGGATCTCTTTCCAATATCCAGTCTGTCACTACAGTTTAAAAACATATATATTTTAATAAACCTGCATAATCACAAAGGCATTCATTTGTGAAATCAACTAAATATTAGATGAGAATTAAAGCTGTGACTGTCAACTTTTAGTCTGACAATAAAATGTCAAATGAGATCCCCAAACCCCGAGATAAACCTGAAATTAGAAAAATCAAATCCATATTTTAAATGTTAACCTTTTTTATCATGAGCAACTTGTCTTATTATAAAAGTAAGCAAAACTATATCACACAGAGGCAAAATAAAAAGGACTACATTTATACCATATTTATTTAAGATCTACTATTATCAAGAATTGTACTAGGCTCCACTGACATCAAGCACACAAGGAGTGTGTCATCTACCTGTGGAGAGACATACCAACAAAATAATTGGAGCTAACTAAATAAAAGCTGCTTGCTGACTAAACGTCATACTAACACTGATTCTTCCTCAAATTTAATCCAACTTCAAAACAAGAAAAACTGCAAGAGACAAAAAGTACTGCCATCGCAGACACAGGCACAATCTCAGACAGCATTTGAAAATTCCACTAATACCTTTGTGATTAGAAGAACCTCTTGGTTTTCCAAAATTTACAAAGTAGTAAATAGGATCAAATCTGACTATAGCAGGAAAGCCCACCCAAAAAAAACCTCTGCAAAGAAGGTCTCCTTAAAGCTTACCCATTTTGTTTGGATAAATCACTCTCAGACAACTAACTAAAAATAAATGTAGTTTCAAACCTCAATGGTAATTGTGTATTTTAATACACTAAATATAATCACATGTAATAACATAGTAATAAGCTTAAGTATTTTCAATTTTACCAGTCTTTAATCAATAGCCACAATAAAAATTAAAATAAAAATCTATGGCATAAAAATTGGTAAGTTACTAAATAAAATTCTAACAGTATCTAAATAAGTATCTCTGAAGTAATTATATACACTATCTGCCACTACAAGAAAAGGTATTTATGGCCTTTACTATGCTATTAAAAATAACTCGGTCCTGTTGAAGGTTACAGAATCATTAAAAAAAAAAAAAAAAGCAACTGCTTATAGATGGAAAATACTGGAATGTTTAAGGAACCCAGAATGAAAAAAATACAATCGAAGTCTCCAACAAGCTGTTGTTTTGCTGCTGTTTCACCCGTATTTGGTTCAATAATCACCTATTCAAATGACTATTATATCATCTACACATATTTTCAATAGTTTCCTTTTATCCATTAATTTTATCCAAAAAGGCTTCCAAGTAACTAATTGAAGTATATTACTGTAAGTATGCAAATCATCAAAGCTCATAAATATTCAGTCAAAAAGAAGCTGGCATATCTACAGCCATAACACCAAAATAAAATACCACACTTAACTCTATGGCACATACTCAACTTATTTTGAATTTAGTCCCAACAAAAAAGCAGGACAAGGAAAAAAAGTGTTAAGAAATTTTCTTCACCAATTAAATAATTTACATGACAGGTGAACCAAAAAAGCAGCTTGCTGAAAGTATTAATGTACTTAAAGAAGCAACAGGGTGATTGGGGAACAGATGGGGCTCCAAGATGTATAAATTCTTATCCCACTGGTACTTTAATTGTGTTAGTTATTTCAGAGCTATGTGTCTATATATTCTTTTATCAATATTCTTCCTTAAAATGCAGCTTTTCTTGGGAATTATAAATGCTCATCATTTTGGACAGCAAAAACATTACCTAATATATAACTTTATAATGACTCTCCTCCATGCCTTCAGGTTCTATTCTTGTTCCACAAAGTAGAATTTAATTATAAGGAATATATTTATTTTCAATGAAAATATTAGTAAACTGATATAGAGGCAGTTAAGGTGGGTTTCATTTATTTCACAAAACTCCAAATTTCTGTCCATGCAACTGTATTTTCAAATGATTTAATTACACATACTATCAGAAATGTACTTCATCAAAATACTTTCTTAGACCTTTAATGTGTAAAAATCACTTAAGAATACGGCAAATCCAAAAACATCACATCAAAAGTAAATTAAAAATTATTATAGGTAATGCTAGAAATACAGCTTTAACTGTATTTCTCAATGTCTTTCGGAAATTTCTATCCAAACATACCAGTTAGACATGTTGGACTCCAAACTCATTCCACTACCACCATAGTAACTGCAGCTGCCTCCCCTACCCCAACCAAAAGATAACAGCAACATTTACAGCTAGATTCCATATTTGAAAAGCATAAATCATTTTCAGTCCCACAAACTTAATCAGGTCCTATAGTACTGAGAATACTGTTTTTTTTCTAATTTATTTATTGTTTTAAAACAAGGTCTCGCTCTGTTGCCCAGGCTGGAGTGCAATGGCGTGATCCCAGCTTACTGCAGCCTCAACTCCTGGGCTCAAGCAATCTTCCCACCTCAACCTCCAAAGTAGCTGGGACTACAGGCATGTGCCATCATGTCTGGCTAATTTTTTAAAATTTTTTTGTAGAGACAGGATCTCACTTTGTTGCCCCAGCTGGTCTCAAACTCCTGTGAGCGAGCAATCCTCCCGCCTTGACCTCCCAAAGTGCTGGGATTACAGGCATGAGCCACCAAGCCCAGCCTCTTTTTTATTCTTAAATGTATTTTCTTTTCACCCTCGCCATCCTCAGCGAAAAAAATAGTATTTTCTGTCTGCAGTCTCTCTTCCTTCCAACTCATCATCAATAATACTCTCATCAGTTTTCTTTCTCAAACATATCATATCCCCTTCCCTTAAAAATTGTGAATGATCTCTGCTGACTAGAATTCAAAATCTTCATGTTTTGCAAGACTTTACCAATCTGGCCCAATCCTATGTTTCCAGTCATTTCCCTATGTCTAGCCCAGAACACTACCTAGTTTCCCAAACATGCTATCCGTCTAGTACCATTCTTTGTTGTTGCTGCTTTCTAAGCCTAGAATGCTTTTTCTCTACTCTTCCTGGCAATCTTGGAATGAAATCTTACTCACATTTCCAAAGGCCTAAATTTAAAATCTCCTCTGCAAAGACTTCAATTCCTCTAGATCAGGGATTAACAAATCTTTCCTGTAAAAGGCCAATAGTAAATATTTTAGGCTTTGTAGAGGGCCATAAAGTCTCTAACTACTCACTCTGCCATAGTAGCACAAAAGCTGCATAAAAGAAGGGGTGTGGTGGTGTACAAGCAGCAGCTGAATTTGGTCCAAAGGCTATAGTTGCTGACTTCTGTCCTAGACAAAATTACAATTTACCACATAGTACTATAGCCTGTTGTCACCTATATTTACATTGTAAACTCCCTGAAAGAAGAACCTTTTAGTAACTTTTAATTAAGTCTTCTTCCCAACCCCAGTACAGTACCTAATACCAAAAAATTCAGTGTTAAATAAGCAAAATGAAGACAATAATACAGTATTACAATCTCAATCAGCAATAATAAGTAGTACATGTCAAAAATAGTGTACAAACGTTTGACTTATGTTAGTCTTAAAGACACTAATTCCTAAAATATCTATGTTACTCACTAGCCTCAGGCTGTCTTGACTCTAAACTTAAATTAAATATATTTTAAAGCTTTTTTCCAGTACTAGGAAGAGTCTATAATAGTTAACTGCCAAACTTCATCCAGATATATCTGTGGAACAGTGTCCTTGGGTAGTTCATAAAACTAGGACTCAAATGTTATGATTTAGAATCATCTGTCCCAAAGTATAAAACATATTAATCTGTGGTCAGTGATTAGTTAAAAATAATCAACAAAAGGGGTAATACATAGTTCCTGAATGATTCCCAAACAGTAATACATTTTTATTTGACACCTGGTACTCTCCATAGGTAGCCTTAAGATAGCTAAGATACATGTTGACCCTGTCAAAAGGTTAATCTTTTAGTGTCAAAGCTGAAGTTTAGCCACATCTATTTATTCTAGAAGGAACCCAGTATTTCTGCTCTGTTAATAACATAGAACAGATGGGGTGTCAGGAAAAAGTGGAGGTGGCATGGGATTCTGGTCCCAACTGCCAATAAAAATCACAATTTTTGGCCGGGCGCGGTGGCTCACGCCTGTAATCCCAGCACTTTGGGAGGCCGAGGCGGGCGGATCACGAGGTCAGGAGATCGAGACCATCCCGGCTAAAACGGTGAAACCCCGTCTCTACTAAAAATACAAAAAATTAGCCGGGCGTAGTGGCGGGCGCCTGTAGTCCCAGCTACTTGGGAGGCTGAGGCAGGAGAATGGCGTGAACCCGGGAGGCGGAGCTTGCAGTGAGCCGAGATCCCGCCACTGCACTCCAGCCTGGGCGACAGAGCGAGACTCTGTCTCAAAAGAAAAAAAAAAAAAAAAAAAAAAAAATCACAATTTTTAAATTGTGTTCATTTAAGGTGAAATAACATATTTTGTAAAATTATTAGTGATGATACAGTGCTTACAATAGCCTTTATGAAAAAAGTCAATAAAAAATATACACAAAGTCTATTTTATGTCCCAGTGATGCATATATGATTATTTCGAGCCCCTGAAACAAAGACAATTTTTTAAAGTAATAATAATAGCAAATGCTTAGTAGCACTTACAACATGCTAGGCCCTTTTCTAGGTACTTCACATATCATTAACTTAATCCTTAGAAGAATCTCATGAGAGAATACAATGATCCCCACTTTATAGTTGAAAATGAGGCATGGGGTATTAAAAAGACCAAGTTCCAGAGCTGTAAAGTGGCAAAACCAAGGTATGAACCAAGGGAATCTGGTTCCAAGTGCTAAACCACTATACTGTACTAAACATACCTGGATTATAGCTCCTTCCTAATAGTACCATTTCCACTATATACAAACACCTTGTTTCTACAAATAAACAATCTAAGGTAAAACTAGGAATACTACGATCATAAACTTCAGGAGAGTGTCCATTCTGGGAGAACAAAAGGTGGCTCTCTCCCTTTCCTCAAATAATTAATTCTACAAATTAGAGGAAAAAAGGAAAATGTCCCCAATGGACAAGTTGCCTCTCTAAACAGTCATATATTAGTTCATAAGTTGAGGATCTTCTGTGCTGTGTTTTTTTTCTCTTAGGTTCATCATTTATTTTCCATCTCAACTGCTTATGACTTGAGCTTTTGGATTTAAAAAACTGACTAATGACATGAATCTAAATTTTCTCTGCGTCTACTAATTGCCATTTCTTTTTGCTTCCCCTATTGCTTCTTGATTAATATTTAAAATAAGGGGTTTGTGTATATAGCAGAATTTGTTTCCAAATTTTTAAAATATCTTAAAATACTTATATGATGTGCTTATATCGTGACCCATTGGTTTAGAGAAAAAAAAAAAAAGAAATAAACCTGAATATTTACATATTTTGTAGATAATATTCTAGACAATACATTTAAGTTATAATAGCAACATCCTTGCCTTCCGGACTCTTCTATTTTGAAAAAGCCTGGTCTATATATGCTATAAATAATTCACTAAAATCAACTATAAAAAAATTTAGCCATATTAAGCCTATGACACATTATCTTCAGTTGGTGGTACTAGGATGTTTTCTCCTGCTTCCAGTATGCCCACTGCCTCCTTTACTACTACCCTCTAAACAGATGACTTTATCCACTGAGATCAAGGTCATCCAGAGGATGTAGCCTCTCATAAACTTTGTCAACCTGAAGTCGTGCATTTCATCTACAGCCAAAGATACCAACTACTACCAGTTCCCTCTTCTCCCACTTAGCCAACAAAAATCACATACCAGAAAGGTCTTGGGAAACATTTTCCAAACAGCAGGATATCAAATTTTCTGTTTTATTAAGCAAAAATAATTTTTTGATCACCCTTCAAGTTTTATCACATAATATAAATACAAACAACTTGGAAAAGCATCTTTCTATAAAAAGCTACACAATAGTTCCTTGGTTAGAATCTTCACAACAAAACAAAAGACAAAACTATAAATCTCAGAGCAAAGCCATATTTTTTCTTTGAAAAAAAAACCAACAAAACAAAACTGAGTAAGAGTCACATTATACACCAGTGTTCTATAAGAAAATTCCATAACCTAGAGAATTTAAAATTTAAAAAGTGATATTAATCAGACAATTTCCTAACAGCTGCTGATTACAAAGACTATTAAAATACACACCAACTTCATTAAAATCTTCAAAGGTGATTTTCCCTGTGGCTTCTCTGTCATAATCTTTAAGAATCTTCAGTACATCAGCTTTTTTTACATCAAACCCCAAGGCTCTCATTGCCACCTTTTGGATTAAAAAGGAAAAGCAAATTATAAAGCACTCTTTACAAAAGAATTTCTAATTATTAAGTTTTTACATCTTAAGAGATGACAACACATTAATAAAATATAACTTTTTTGCATGTTTTACCTCTTTAAAATAGCAGTGATAGTGTAATTGTTCTTCACTACTGAAATTAAGTATGCATAAGTTTTTTCATTTATAAATTGCATTTTTTATATGACAAAGTAACCAACAAGTGTTTACAGATTTTACTATATAAAATGCACTAACTTATTGCACAGATAATTTGATTGTTATTTGTTCTGAAGGGATTAACAATCAAAATGAGAAAAAGGCGTGGCATAAATATTAAACAGTTACATGATAGAAGAGATAAAACATTAAAACAAGAATTATCATCAGTCTTTCCATGATTAGTTACCAGGTAAATGATAGGGCTAAGGACCCTGAGTTTAGAGAAAAAAGAGATTTTGTTACTAATAATAAGGAAGGAGACATATTACTGACTAGAGAAGTCTTATTTGGAAAGATTCAAACTGTTCCTTGAAGGATAGATGAAGAGGAGCAGTAGGGTATTTGGGAAGGATGACTGGTATTAAAAGAAACACTGAAACGAATAGGTTCGAAGGACAATGAACAGAGCAGTTTACCTCACCTGAATTAGAAAAGTTCAGGTGAGGTAAACTGCTCACCTGAATTAGGAGGTGAATTCCACCTTAATTAGAAGAGTTCAGGAGGAAGAAAGCAGTTAGCAAATGAAAAAAGTAGTTGGTGGCAAAAGTGTAGAGAACATTCAGTAGAAAGCAAAGGAATCTGAACTTTAAGTAGTATACAATGAGGAGTTATGGTTTATGAGCAATGAACAATTTATGAGCAATGGTGAAAGAATTTTTAAACTATCTAAATTCAGTGGTAGTGTACAAGGTGAACTAGTAAGAAATCATTTAGGAAGCTCCAGGTATGAAATAAGGTCCCAAACCAAGATAGTCAATGGTTACAAATGGAACAGACATTATAAAGGAAGATCAAATCTGGGTAACCAAAAAAAAAAAAAAACAAAAAAAACAGTGGGAAAAGAGAGCCAAAGAGGACTGCAAGATTGAGAAAGCTAGACTTAGCAGGCCTATTAACTGCTTTTATACATTCTATCCTGTCACTGCATAGTTCCTATCCCTACTTGGAATTCTAATGCTTAAAAATCCCTTACGAAATTACAAAAATTAAAACTACCAAATAAACACTTACATTCACCTATCCATTAAGGCCATTAAAAATCTCAAAATACTATCTTTCCCACTGTGCTGAAAGTAAGTCCCATTCTACCCTAAACCCAAATCTCTCCTTATACCCTGACAAATAATAATTTACAAATCTCTCCCTACACTTTGACATTCTAGGTCTTAAAGCTGACATTTTTACCTATTAGCATGTGTCAACATCAAACAGCACTAAAGTTGTTTGCACCAGAGAAAGTGGATTGAGACTATGTTACTAACAAATCCAAATTATAAGATTAAAAGACAACACTCCCACAGTCTGAAAACAGTATGAGTCACCAAGAAACAAAAACAAAAACAAAAAACAGTGAAAAGAAGATGGTAAGAATAAATTCCAGTTTGAAATCCTTTAATTATGACAGTGAAAAATAAGCACCTTCCCTGGGAATGTATTTTTACATTTAAAATACTATTCGTTTTCTCATGTGAAAAAGATTTTCTAAAAACTATGTTAGGAGTTCTCTTCAGTTTTATTACAGCATCTAACTATGAATGCTTAAAATGCCTTCATAGTTCCAAAACCAATTTAGTTAAAATAATTATTTAGAAATGTAATGTAAAGCAACTGTAAAAATGCAAATCATTTTAACACAGAAACAAATATTTTAAAGTATACCATTACCTTTAATTCATGATAATCTATTGCTTCATCTTTGTCTGTATCAAATAGTTCAAAAGCATCTTTAATTTCTTGTTTCTGTTCCTCAGACAGTTCTCTTCTTTTTTTCCTCTTTGTTTTGTCCACTACAAGCTCACTTCTATGAAATGGAAAGAAAAAGCCCTTAGTCCACTTTAATTCTCTTTACTAACAGAAATTAGCCAATAATTACCTTCTAAATTTCAAAAAAGAAAGTACTTTGGAGAAAGATAGGGAAACTTTCCCTTTATGAGTCAATGACCTGTTTATTCCATAGTCTAAATTGCTATAAATCTGAACTTCGCAAAACTAAAGAGTGTTACAGATTATTAAAAGAAATGAGGACCAAACTTTTCTTTTTCCCAGCTTTTTATTTATTCCCACTAATGTTACTGTGGAAGAAACAAGAACTGTGAATAAGCAACACTACTTTTATGTCTGAAACTCCAACCAACTCCAACCAAAAAAACAAAAACACGTTATCCTACAAGAATGTTAAAGAATTTAAAAAAAATCTCCAAATGAAACCAAAATTCATAACTGACAATCACTATATATCGGTTTACTGTTGATAGTTCTGATAATTATGTTCATAAAATTACAAAAAAAAAGTGAATTAACTTATACAGTATTTTAGCACTGTTGGTTCAAAATGTTTTTAGATTACACGTTTTTAACAGTTTGGCAATTTATGTGTCATTTCCTCCATTGATATTAACAAACCATCGAAAATATTAATGAGTCTAAACATATGACAAATATTAGATGCCAATATACAATGTTTGTGCTTCATTCTATATAAAAATGTGATGAGTCTTGTCTCATTTAACATGTAAACCGGAGGTTAACTTCTCATAAACTCTGGAAACGCTTAAAGAAAAAAAGCAAAAATTATTTTAAAGCCAGAAATGTTTTCCTTAAGAGCTGCCCATCTAAATGTGCTCCAAATTTTCAAATGGAGCCGCAACACTGGAATAACGAGTTTTGAAACACAATCCGGTAACACATTAACATGTCAAACCAGTTGACTGTACTTAAAACACCTATCTAGTTGCATTTGAAAGTCGTTTTGGTCTCTGAAAGCTCCAAAAAAAAAAAAAAAAAGCTAGGAAGTGACTAGTAGGTGCAGTATAACAAAGCTGAGGAAGATCTTCCTTTCATGAGACCTGACTTGACACAAACTTGGGTATTCCTGGGGTCAGTCTTTTCCTTCCTGAGACTTTTGGAGGCCAAGTCCAGAACCGACCCACCCCTGACCCCATCCAAGGGTACCATGATTATCCCTTAGCAGAACATGGAATATTTTCGGAGTGTCGTAAGTGTATGGATAGTTTTACGGTACAACGTCTACATAGTGGGAGAGGGCAACAGAGGGTTAGAGGTTAGAACTGAAAGGTAAAAAAATGCAAGAAATTTAGGAAATCCAAGAGACAGACTGCCAATTAAAGTCACTAAAATGGGTCTCCAATTACACCGTAAAGCAGGGCCCTGGGAGAAGAGGAAAGAGTTTTTGTTATTTCCAAAATTTATAGGTGGGTGATTGCATTAGCAGCGGAGCAGCCGAGGTGGGGCCCTGACCAGGCACACGGATGAATGAAGGGATGTCCGCGACCTGATCTGAGAAACAAGAGTAGAAGCCTCGCGATATTTCATTCCCACCTCGCTCGCAACTAAGCCCAACCTTCTGGCAGTCCAAAGCCCTACGCGCTGACAGAAATAACCTCCTTAGCAGAAATGCACTGGTCTCGTTCCCTGCAGGGCATCAGAGCCCAGAGGGTGAGTGATCCGGGCAGGCTGCCCTAGGCTCCTTTCCCGCGTCCCAAACTACATCCCCTGCCTCGCCTCGGCCCCAAACGTCCTCCCTTCCACACACACCCTCCCTGGGCCCCGCTCCGGGGTGTGGAGAGCACTGCCGCCTCCTTATTACCGACCTCAGAGCTAAACTCATTATCTCTTCGCACAGAGACGTTCCTCTCAAGAACGATTTTAACCCCCTACCCAAGGCAGCAAGACGCCCACAGCCGTTCAACAGACACGAACGACCTCAGCGGCCTCAGGGACCTCCCACAACATAGACACTTTTGAGCTGGATTGGTTGAAATGTCGCTATGGTTCTGCCTATTAGGGGGCGGAAGCTTTACCAGTTCTATTTTCATTGGGTAGGTTTTACGTCAATCAAGGAAAAAAAAATTTTTTTTCTGTGCCCCGCCCACCTCCTAACGCCCCCCCGCCCCCCCAATCTAGGGCCGCTCTCGCCCTTCGGATTGGCTCGATGCGTTTTTCCCCGAATCCTTTGCGGGTCCGGCCTCCGATCCCTGTGTGGCTGTTTGGCGGGTGGGCGCTGTGTTCCTCTCTCGTAAAGCCGTGCGGTCTGTGGGCCGCCATTCAGAAACTGGATGGACAGCTTCGGCGGTGGGAAGGGAAGGGACATGCTGCAGGCCACCCTCCGGCTAGAAGGAGGGAGTACTTGAGGAACAAGGTCTGCGAAAATTGGCTGTGCTCTGTTCTAAAACTTGGAATGGCCTCAGTACCTGGGGAATGTGTTTAAAATGCAGACTTAAATGTCCGTTTCTCCATTCTAATTTCAGTAGGTATGAATCTGCGTTTTTACTCCTCACAAGCCTTCCAAGTGATTCTGAGGCAGGTGCTGTGGCTGTACTTGGATTATCACAGGGTTAGATTATCAGGCTATTTATGATTTAGCTGTATCTAAACCACCTTTCCCTCTCTTTCCTCCTTTGAACTGTTTGAAACGGATTTGTTCCCTTCTGTCTCTTATTTTTCAGTGCTGTAAGCTGTTAACACACATGAGACTGTCTTCACTACCAAACCAAGTCTCCTAAAGCTCACTTGAATGTCTGCTTATTCGTGTCTCTTACTAGGTTCAATTTCTTGGAGGCCGTGATTATATCTATTTAACGCTTTTCCTTGTACCTAATAAAATGTCTGGTGCGTAGGTGCTCGGTAAATTGAGTGGAATCTTTTGAAAATCCACAAAATACTGAGCTAAACAGCAAATCTCATAAACGTGAATAAAATAGCCTGAGGATGGGAGTTGAAGGCGGAGAATATATAAACATTATATGTTTAAGGGATGTATATAAAATTTTAGAGAAGGGAGAGAACACAAGATATGCTTCTTAAAGGAGGTGACATAAACGTTAGACCTAGAAGGATGGGCTAAATTTGCACAAGGAAAGATAGTATGATAGAATAAGCTAAAAATTAGCTAAGGGATAGCACCCCTAAAAAACAAAAGTGGAACTTTTATTTTGTTCGTATTTTAAATTTTAAAGTACCTTTATAAATCACCTTTGAGTCTAAAAGGAAAGAGAAATTGTAGTTACTAGAACATAATGATATTGAAAAAAACTATATGTTAAAATTTTAAGATACAGACCAAGTTATAGGAGAACATTATTTTAAATAAGAAAGAATAAAAATAGGCCAAGCATTTATTTGAAGATGTTAGAAACGAAGAACAAATTGTATAATTGAAATTAGGAAGAGGAAATTAGTAAAGATAAAGTTTGAGAACAGTGTTTTAAAAGGAAATTGGTAAAATTGATAAAGTACTCATAATCTAGTATAAAGCTGGTTTTTGGCAATACCAGTGAAATTCAAAGACTTATAGGAAGTGTAACAAGAAAAGGAATAGTGCCACTAGTAAGGTTGGTAATTTAATAAAAGGGAGGTTTAAAAATTATTAAAATATTTTATACAATTTTATACCGCCAATAAATATTAATAGAAAATGAAATAGTCACTTTTCAAGGAAAACATAACTCAAAAAAGGTGGAAAACTGAATTAAGTCAATAACTACAGACAGGACTGGAACAAAGATGCCAAAGTTCTGTACTCACAAATAAAAAGCCTCCAGCCCACTCAGATTTATGATTAAAAATCATAAGAGCTAAATCTTGTGCTTTAAACTCAAGTCATAGAAAATGATGGAGAGCTTCTTAGCTTAATTTTTGAAGCTGCCATAATCTTTCACATCCTAAAAGAACATTTAAAGTCACTCAGTGTAAGCTCAGTGATGATGAAGGCTATGCATGTTTCTCACCATTGTATCCCCAGTGCCTGACTCATGTTTGATGTTCATTTGTGAACTTAAGTGCAAAATTCCTAGATGTTAGCAAAGTCAGTTTGATACTGTCTTAAAGGAACATTTCTCTATAACTAAATTGAGTTTTTTTTTGTTAAGTGCAAAGATAATTCAAAATATAAATCTGTGTTAAATAATTATAATGTTAGGTTAAGGAAATCATCTCAGTGTCAAAAAGGCACTGAATAATAGGTAACACCTTTTCTATTAGGATATAAAGTGGGTTTAGAAAATACTTTTTTAAATATGATCGGCAGAATACTTAAACACCAGTGTTTCTCAAACCTCATTCCTGAAACACTAGGATTTTGTGAGATGCTTTTGGTCTCAGAGTGCGTTTTATAAGCAAATAATTTGGGCAAACAGATTTTAAAAGGTTTTCAATAGGGTGTCCTTTTAAGAGAGTGACAGGGAATTTACACGCATCACTTTTATTATATTTAATTAGTGAGAACTAGTGACAACCACTTCTTGCTTCACGGGAGGTTGAGGCAAGAAATCTCTAGATGGAAAACTGCTCTGCTGAAACTTGGGGTCTAATCATCTATTACTAAAGATAAGACAGGTGGTTACACTAATTATATTTTAAACCTAAATTTGATGCAATCAAAATTCTCATATTTTTCTTGAATTGAACAAAGGTATTCCAAAGACCATCTCAACAACAATTCTATAAAAATAACTTACTAAACTGTGAAAAAGAATAATAATACAAAAATTGCTGTATGGGACACTAAAATGTATTTGGTACAATGGTAATCAGACCAGAAATTCCAGAGACAGCCAAATGTAAATAAAAATGTCTGCTTTGAAAAGGTAGTGACATAAATATTTGTTTAGTCTGCCTCCTAAAGCCTTAATAAATCAAGAGTTCCTCTATCACCCACGCTGGAGTGCAGTGGCATAACTCACTGTAACCTCAAACTCCTGGGCTCAAAGGATCCTCCCGCCTCAGCTCCTGAAAAGTTAGGACTACAGAAGCATGCCACCATGCTCAGCTAATTTTTTTTAAATT